>NC_000007.14:152640197-152791713 GCF_000001405.40 Homo sapiens | reverse complement strand
CCAGAGAGATCTTGGTAGTGAGAAAATAATTCTGTAACTTTATTACAGTGGTAGTTCAAGGAATCTACAGGTAGAATTACAATGACATAGAACTATACACACACATTGTACCAACATCCGTTTCCTGGGGCTGGTCTGTTTTTGTTTTTATTTTTTAGAGACAGGGTCTCACTTCTGGTTATAATATTGCACTACAATTTGTAAGATGTAACCTTTGGGGGCAAAATAGGAAAAGTGTACACAGGATCTCTCTAAACTATCTTTGCAACTTCCTATTAATCTATAATTATTTCAAAATAAAATATTTTAAATACAGAGTTTATAAATGACTTAAACTAGAAAATAAAACACTTCAGCTATAATGATGAATCAAAACTAAAAAGATTAAACTTAGTAATAAAGAACAATGGGCCGGCACAGCGGCTCACGCCTCTAATCACTTTGACAGACTGAGGCAGGTGGACAGCTTGAGGCCAGGAGTTCAAGACCAGACTGGGCAACACAATGAAACCCTGTCTCTATTAAAATTACAAAAATCAGCCGGGCATGGTGGCACACGTCAGTAATCCCAGCTACTTGGGAGGCTGAGGCAGAATTGCTTGAACCCAGGAGGTGAAGGTTGCAGTGAGCCAAGATCATGCCACTGTACTCCAGCCTGGGCGACAGAGCAAGACTCTGTCTCAAAAAAAAAAAAAAAAGAACAATTATTTTTTCTAACAAGCTCTGCAGTCAAAAAAAATTGTGTTTGGGTATAGGATTATAGGATGTGGGTTACCAAGAAAAGACATGACTACTTTCCTAAATGCCAAAAAAGCCATCTGAGGGCAATCTAAGGAAGGTTATCGAGAAGACTGTATCTAAGGACTTAAGACACAGATACTTCAGAACATTTGCTACAACAGTTGAGAGACACAACAATAGTAATTTTTTAATCCAGTATATTTCTCAAAAGACTGTTAGATATTTTTACTAAAGCTTGAAGGAATAAACAATTCCTATCTTATGCAAACTGTTCCAGAGAATAAAAAAAGAAAGCTAACAAACTCATTTTATGAAGCCCATATAATCCTGATACACAACCAGACAAAAACAAGAAATCAAAATTACAGTCCAATCTCACTTTTGAATATTGATGCAAAGTTCTCAAGTAAATATTTGCAATTACAGTTCAGCATGTACTTCATATTTCATAGCCAAGTAGGATTTATCCCAAAAATGAAATAATTGTTCAATCTGGACAAGGTGGCTCATTCCTGTAATCCCAGTGCTCTGGGAGGCTGAGGCAGGAGGATCACTGGAGGCCAGGAGTTTGAGACCAGCCTGGGCAACAAAGAGAGACCCCCATCTCTACAAGAAGAAAAAAAAGAAAAGAAATAACTGTTCAATATTCGAAAATGTATTAAAGTAACTCCTCCTATTAAGAGTAGGTGGGGTGGCTCACACCTATAATTTCAACACTTTGAGAGACCAAGGTGGGAGGACTGCATGAGCCCAGAAGTTCGAGACCAGGACAGGCAATATAATGAGACCCCATCTCTATGAAAAATTTAAAAATTAGCCAGACATGATGGCTCCCATGTGTGGTCCCAGCTACTTGGGAGGCTGAGGTGGGAGGATCTCTTGAACCTGGAAAGTCAAGGCTGCAGTGAGTCATGATCAAGCCACTACACTCCAGCCTTAAAGTACAGTGCCTCAAAAAAAAAAAAAAAAAAAAAAGAAAGAGTACAAATGTCCAAAACCATATGATCATCTCAATAACAGAAAAGCTTTGACTAAATGTCAATACTCACTGTCATTCATGATTTTTTTAATTAAAAAAAACCCTCAGATTAAACTAGGAATAGAAGAGCACTGTTTTAATCTGAAAAAGCATTTCCACAAAAACCTACAGTTATCACTAGTAGAGTACTATAATAAAATCCCATTCTCTTTAAAGTCAGAAAGTCAAAAAAGCACCTGCTGTCTGCAGTTCTGATCACTATTTTAATAGAAGTTCTAGCCAACACAGCAAGACCAAGAAAAGAAACACGAAGTGTTAGAATTGGAAGAGACAAAATAACCACTATTTGAAGGCAATACAATAGTCTGCATAGAAAACTTTAAAGAATCTGCAGACTGTTAAATAAGAGAGGTCAATAAAGGTTGCTGGATTAAAAAAAAAAAATCTTACAAACCTCAGTAACATTCCCATATGCTGGCAATTATGAATTAGAAAATAGAATTTTTAAAATATTTTGACGACAGCAACGAAAACTTAAAGGTACCTAAAAATAAAGCTAGCAAAAACTATGGAAGAGTTGTCTTGGGGTTTTGCTTGTTTTTGAGACAAAGTCTCACTGTGTCACCCAGGCAGGAGTGTAGTGGCACAATCACAACTCACTCCAGCCTCGATCTCCTGGGCTCAAGCAATCATCCCACCTCAGCCTCCCGAGTAGCTGGGACCACAGGTGAGCGTCACTACACGTAGCTAATTTATTTTTATTTCTGGTAGAGACAGGTTCTCACTATGTTGCCAAGGCTGGTCTCAAACTCCTGGGCTCAAGCAATCCTCCCACCTCGGCCTACCAAAGTGCTGCAATTACAGGTGTGAGCCACTGTGTCCAGCCCTCTGTGTACGAGTGTAAGGGCTTTGTTGTTGTTGTTGTTGTTTGTTGTTGCTGTTTGTTGTTGTTGTTGTTGTTGTTGTTGTTTTGAGACAGCGTCTGGTTCTGCTGCCCAGGCTGGAGTGCGGTGACGCAATCTCAGCTCACTGCAACCTCGACTCCCAGGTTCAAGCAATTCTCATGCCTCAGCCTTCCAAGTAGCTGGGATTACAGGTGTGAGCCACCACATCCGGCTAATTTTTGTATTTTTTAGTAGAGACAAGGTTTCACCATGTTGGCTGGGCTGGTCTCTAACTCCTGGCCTCAAGTGATCCACCCACCTTAGCCCTCCCAAAATGCTGGAATTACAGGTGTGAACCACTGCGCCTGGCCTGTAAGAGCTTTTTAAAGAATACTTTAAGGCCAGGCGCAGTGGCTCACTCCTGTAATCCCAGCACGCTGGGAAGCTGAGGTGGGTGAATCACAAGGTCAGGAGTTCAAGACCAGCCTGGCCAACATAGTGAAATCCCGTCCCTACTAAAAATACAAAAATTAGCTGAGCATGGTGGCGTGCACCTGTAGTCCCAACTACTCGGGAGGCTGAGGGCAGGAGAATCGCTTGAACCCGGGAGGTGGATATTGCAGTGAGCTGAGACTGTGCCACTGCACTCCAGCCTGGGCAACAGAGCAAGACTCCATCTCAAAAAAAAAAAAAAAAAACTTTAGAACATTAGAACACTACTGAAAAACACGAGAGACATGAATAAACAATAAAACACATATACCATCTTCAAGGATAGGAATACTCAATTCCTATCCATGAAAGTCAAATTTGACGTCAAATTTTTCCCCAATTAATCTATAAATAATAATCAAGGCCGGGCACAGTGGCTCACACCTGTAATTCCAGCACTTTGGGAGGCCAAGGCAGGAGGATCATGAGGTCAGGAGTTCCCAGACCAGCCTGGCCAACATGGTGAAACCCCATCTCTACTAAAAATACAAAAATTAGCTGGACGTCTCTACTAAAAATACAAAAATTAGCTGGACGTGGTGGTGGGTGCCTGTAATTCCAGCTACTCGGGAGGCTGAGGCAGGAGAATCATTTGAACCTGGGAGGCGGAGGTTGCAATGAGCCAAGATCACGCCATTGCACTCCAGCCTAGGCAACAAGAGTGAAACTCCATCTCAAAAAAATAAAAATAATAATAATAATAATCAAAACCCCATTATAATTTTCATGGAACTTAAGCTGATTCTAAAATGAACACTAAAGAGTAAGAGCCAAAGCTATTCTGAGAAAAAAAATGAGTAGGAATCGAACCCACTAGATTAAAACATGATAAAGTAATAGTGTTTAACACTGTGAGTATGGAACGTACGGAACACAGATAAATACATCAATGAAACAAAAGACACCGAAAACATTCCCAAGCATAAATGGTACCTCGATATGATCAAAGAGGTGTGCCAAATGGGAACACACTCTTTAATAAATAGTGTTGGGACAACTAGCCTTCCGCATGGAAAACAAAATTACCTATCTCCTTCACACCATACTCACAAATTAACTTAAAATTTTCTTAGAAAAAATATAGAAAGTCTTTATGACTTTGGAGTAGAAATGCATTTTTTAAACAGAAACAAATTATAAAAGAAAAAGACTGAAAAGTATTACTATATCAAAATTTTAAATTTCTAGATGATAAAAGATAATTTTTAAAAATGTCATAGAATAAAAAAGTATCTGCGAAAAATTCATATTTAACCTCTACAAAGAGTTCCTATAATTCCATTTAAAAATGCAATAGAAAAATGGGCAAAGATATGAACAGGCAATGAAAGGTGCTCAACCTTACCAGTAATCTGAGAAATAGAAATTTTTTGAATGAGCCATCATTTTACATTCATTAGACTGACCAAAATGTAAGTCACACAATACCAATTATCAAGAATCTATGAAACAGAAACTCTCACACACTGCTGATGGGATATCCATCAGAACAGCCTCCTGGAGGAGTAACGTGGCAATACCTAATTAGGTGTTGCCTAAGGATGAAGGGGTGTACGCTCTGTGACAAAACAATTTCTGATTATTTCCTCTCAGGAAACTAGCAGATACGCATAAGGAAATTTTTACTGCACCATTTTATATAACAGAGAACTGTGAAAAATGCCCAAAAGGAAAAAAACTGTTGTATATTCACGTTAGAATTCTGATGTGGATCTGTATGTATGATAAAAACATAATATTGAGGGTTTTTCTTTTTAAAGACCATGCAGAAAGTTATTTACAGTGTGATACCATATTGGAAATGTATGAACTCACAAAACAATGTATCTTTGTACATGTAATATATGGATAAAAATGGAGTAGAAACACAACCAGAAAATATCCACCAGAGGAAAGAAAAGAGGAAAAGAAGAGAGGTCTGATACTCAACCTATAATGTGCCATTTATTCATTTACTCTGATACAGAGATGAAATATGCAGTAATGACGTGTTCATTCTTGGTGGTGAGTCCATGGGGTTTTTTGTGTGTGGGGTTTGTTTGTTTTTTGTTTTTTTTTTTTTTTCGAGACGGAACCTCACTCTGTCCCCCAGGCTGGAGTGCAGTGGTGCAATTTCGGCTCACTGCAACCTCCACCTCCTGGGTTCAAGTGAGTCTCCTGCCTCAGCCTCACGAGTAGCTGAGATTACAGGCACCCGCCACCATCCCGGGTTAATTTTTGTATTTTTAGTAGAGATGGGGTGTTGCCATTTTGGCCAGGCTGGTCTCAAATCCCTGACCTCAGGTGATTCGCCCACCTTGGCCTCCCAAAGTGTTAGGATTACAGGCGTGAGCCACCGCGCCCAGCCCACTGTTATATTTTCTAGCTGCAGCCTAACTCTCTTCCCTAGGCCTTAAACCTCTTCACACCTGAACTCTTCCAATATTGAATGTCTAAAATGTGTGCCCTTTTTCTCAGCCCCTCGCTGCTCCTCCTCTAGCCTCTTTCTACACCACACATTCTCTGATCACCACACATTCTCCGCCTGAAGCTGCGGCAGGACCACCAATATCCTCCAACGACTTAAGAAAAAAAAGTAGGGAATAACTTTCTTCAAGCAACCAAGCAAATTCTGCACAGAAGCTCCAACAAACCAGACATAAGCAGAGCTGCCCCTGGAGGCAGGGACGGGGCTTGAGGATTCTCTAGTCCAGTGGGCCAGGCCCCAGAGAGAAGCCTCAAAAACAGTCTGAAAATTCCTGGTATGCAAAATAAAAACAGAATTCCTTAAGAGGACACTTGCAAGTCCCTTGCCACCCAGTCCTTCCCCACAGGTCTCCACCTCCTGGCGCTCTCCCCACCATCCCACAGCACCCCTGCTTCTCCACACCCCCACAGCACCTCACCTCCATGCCACGCAGAGAAAGTCTTGCTCCAGCACTCAGCACACACATCCACACACTTGCACAAAATGGTTCCACTCCCAGCCCCAAGACACGCAGCAGGCCAACTGTCCACGGTGACCCAGGGCCTCACTTCCACATCTCAGTATCCTCACTTCTGCCCGAACATCTTCTAACCTTGACTCCTGGGGCCCCTCTTGCCTCTCTTCTCTCTCTTCTCTCTCCTCTCTCTCTCTCTCTCTGTCTCTCTCTCTCTCTCTCCCTCCCCCTCCCCCTCCCCCCTCTCCCCCCTCCCCCTCCCCCTCTCTCTCCCTCCCTCTCCCTCCCTCTCCCCCTCCCCCTCCCCTCCCCCCCCCCTCACAACAAACTCAGCCCAACAATGTAACTGTTCTTTTACTCCCACCTCTTTGACATTTGTATTATCCTCCTAGCTTCTGCGACTGCTAAGGTTCTGACAGCTGCAGCCTGAGAGCTCTCCTGCTTTTTGACAGTGAATGAAATCCTGATAATAACTGTCTTCGCTTCCCGTCTCTATTAATGATGACAGGTTAAATGGGGCAGCCAACTGAATGCTACCGACAGCTTTAAATGGCAACACATTAAAGCAAAAGGTGCAAGGTCAGCCTTTTATAGCTGTCGCACTTAACAAGGTTAAAATCTAATCTTCTGCTTTGAAAAGTCAGGGAGTTCAATTTATCAACTCAGCATGGAATGATCAGGTTCTGGGGCATTCACATTAATGAAATTCACAAAAGACTGATTCATCCTACAGAACACCAATTGTCATGGACTGAACCATGTCCCCACAGAATTCACTACGCAGAAGCCCTAACCCTCAATGTGACTGTATTTGGAGATGAAACTTTTAGAGAGGTGGTTGGGGTAAATGTGGGGTCCCCATCAATAAGAGTGGTGGCCTTATCAGCAGAGAAAGAGACACCAGCGAGGTCCCCAGCAACCCCACACACTGACACAGAGATGAGACCATGGGAGGACACAGAGAGAAGGCAGCCCTCTGCAGGCCGTGGAGAGAGGCCTCACCGGAAACCAACCCTGACAGCACCTTGATCTTGGACTTGCAACCTCCAGACTATGATAACATTAATTTCCCCAGTCTTTAGTATTTTGTTATGGCAGCCCAAGCACACTAAGACACTCATTTCTGAATTCAAAATGAGGACACAGCAGACCAATCATGCCTGTCATCAGGATAACCCATTCATGGCAGCAGAGCGTTTAGATCTAGAAAATCACATTCATGGCCAGTTTTTCAGCAAGCAAGGAACCGGAATGAGGTTACTTAAATGTTCTCAAAGAATCTGGAGTCCGCTTTCTAGTGATGTGAATACCCACATTCACCAAATAGAGCTTTAGCCCTCCCCGAATAAGCACTAATCAAGCACCTTCTCTCCAGCTGTTTTTTCCCTGTCGACGTTCCCCACTGTTCACAAAGCCTGTTATTACAACATCGTGGCCCCCTAAAAACTTACAATTTCTAAAATCACAACTTATCTTATTAGAGCTACATGTAGAGAACAGAGTTTCACTTTCTCTTGATTAATACATCCTACTCTTTAGAAAACTGTTTCCAAATAATAACCTGAAATACAGATAGTTCCAGGGAATCCTATCTTTTTTTTTTTTTGAGACGGAGTTTCACTCTTGTCACTCAGGCTGGAGTGCAGTGGCACGATCCCGGCTCACTGCAACCTCCACCCCCCAGCTTCAAGTGATTCTCCTGCCTCAGCCTCCCGAGTCGCTGGGATTACAGGTACTTGCGACCACACCCAACTAATTTTTGTATTTTTGATAGAGACGGGGTTCCAACATGTTGGTCAGGCTGGTCTCGAACTCCTGACCTCAGCTGATCCACCCGCCTCAGCCTCCCAAAGTGCTGCGATTACATGCGTGAGCCACCACGCCCAGCCAAGAATCCTATCCTTTAACAACCGACTAACCTCGGGAAGACTCCTACAGGAAATAAAGAGTGAGTAGAACGCCCCATGCCAAACTGCAAGGACACTTCTGTTATTCTCTACTGATTAAAACTTAAACAAAAACAGAATACTACTAAACACAATAAAAACAGTCATCAGGCCTATCATTTCCACCAAAAAAAAAAAGAATCTTTCGATAGAGTGAATAGTGTAGTACAAGAGATATTCAGTCCATTAAGTTACTAAGCTAACAGACTGTATGTACTTAAAATTACAAATTTACCTTAAAGACCAGATATACTTTTTCTAGGCAGTTCAGGCATTTATAATTGAATAAATGGACCCTGCTGACTATCCAAGCTGAGATTCCAACGACAGTGACAAGGGGCTTTATCAGAATGGAACAGAAGGACTAGAAAGTTGTGGGGTAACCAGAACGGTCTTCTAAAAGAAGATGGTAAGTACATTAATATACCTTGAAAAACAGAATCAGAACACTTAGAACAATTCTGAGAAACACAAACCTTTATAAACCCAAGGATAGAGCTTTACTTACATGAAGGAATAATGAACTGGGGCTCAGTGTTGCCTGCGTAGCCAAGCTTGGTATACCTAAAAGCACAAAGTCATCAACACATGTTTAGATAATAATACTCTCGTCTATATTGGATTAATGTCTTTTATTATAAGCTCTCCAAGTCCTAAAATAGCAAGCCTCAGAATACTCCTTGAAATTAAAAAAAAAAAAAAAAAAACTTGTGATCACTGAGAATCAAACACTAATTTCAAAGAAAGCAGTTTTGCAAAAACTTAAAATATTATGCTTGTTTCTAGTAGAAAAAAAGAAACACATATATACTAACATATAAATTACATTTATGCATCCCTAATAACTTTAAAAGTGCTTTTACACTCTATCTTTACAAAAACCCTGTGAAGAAAGTAGAAATTATCCCTGTTTTGCAAATGAGAAAAGGGAGGCACTGAGAAGTTGATTAAACTGCCCACATTAGTGAACTGCAGAAAAAGAACTCCCATCTACATATGCAGGCTAATTCCAACACTGGCTCTCTAAGAAGTGTACTTACTTCCTAGAACTTTTATACAAACTTCCTGAACTTTGCGGGGTGGGGGGCGGCGGTTAGAAAATGATTATATAATTTTCTTAAAATGTCATGGCATATGTCTAAGAAACAGCTACTGCCGTCTCCTGAGAATCATCTGACAAGAGCATCTCTTTATCATCTCATTTCAGAAGGAGCCCATTTTCTGTCAAGACACTGCATGATAGATTCCAAAAGTCTTAACTAAAACAAATGCCAAAATACTACTATCTGTTCCAAAAGCATTTGCTAATCTCCTAAATATAAAAGGGGGGGTGGTGGGAAAAAAAACCACCACTCAGAACCATCTGCTGGAAATAAAGTTGAAACGCGGTAAGTAAATCGAGAAGACTCATCAGCGCTTCCTTTCTTATTAGGACTACTCTAATTAACAGTAACGTCTGGACAACCAAGCCGTCATTCTGTAATAATGCTTATTATTATTATTTCAACACTGCTAACACCAGCAGTGTTGAAACTAACTTTATTCATTCAATTTTAAAAATTATTTCAATATGCTTAATATTAAATTTTTGATCCGGTAATATTTCTAAATTCTAATAAATTAATTTTACGATTTTTAAGTATGGTTTACCATATGCTAATTTTACTATTTTTGAACACACAGTGAATGGATAAGGTCTGGGGAAACCAAAAAAAAACAAGTCAGCTCCCCTCAAATCACACATTGCTGCTCAACTTCCACAGGACCTGAGGTCTTCGTGCCACAGGAGCCAGGGCAATGCCAAGTCCTGAGACTCCTCAGGCCTACAAGGAGCTTCTGGAGGCAAGACCCAGGTGAAGCCCTCTCCAGCTCCACAACTCAAGAGCTGGAAACAGAGTACAAGGCCAAGTGGACCTACCACAACTCCACTCCGGGGTTCCACCTACAAGGTAGAATTCAGAGCCAACCAAGAGCCAACCCAGGGTGGAGGCAATAGAGAGCCTGACCTTTAGAATTCCAGATCCTTCCCAATTTTAACATATTTCTGGAATTATATTCCAGAAAATAAATATAAATAAGTGAATTACTAACCCAAGGCTAAAGATGCCTATGGAATCCAACAAGCAGACCAGAAATCACTAAAATCATCAAATCTGTGTCTTTAACAAGCTACATCAGCTACTTCCCACAAAAATGATGCACCTTATGCTTAAATAAATCCACCTTCCCACACTGTTAGACTATGAGTTCCACACGCTGCCCAGAACAGGGTCCTTTCTCATGGTTATATCTACACCCCCGGCACAGTGCCTGGCACATGGCAAATACTCCAGAAATAACAGCTCAATGTATTCTCACCAGTTGTAAAAAAGGTAATCATTGTCAAACCGCCAGCGGAAGGACCAATATTTGCAAGAGGGATGCTGAAAGTCAGAAAAAGAATCTGATGGAACCAGAAAAAAAAAATCACAGATATCATCTCCTACAATCTCCTACTTAAAGAGGAGCAGTGGTCTATGTGTAATGGGTTTCAGAAAAAAAAAAAAAAAAAAAAAAACCACTGAAACGAATATGGTAAAGCGTTAACATTTATTAAAATTAGGTGCTAAGTTTCATTCAGGCTATTATATCATCTTCGTATTTTGAGTATCCTATACTGGTTAAGATCATGCACTTTGGCACCACACTGAGTTCAAATCCCAGCCCCACTATTTGCCAAATGTGTATCTTTGGGCAAGTTACTTTACCTATCTGTATGTCAGTTACTATAAAATGGGGATAATAGACTGAGGCAAGAGGACCCGTTAAGCCCAGGAGTTCGAGGTTGCAGTGAACTATGACTGCCCCACTGCCCTGTAGCCCGGGTGACAGAGCGAGATCCTGTCTCGAAAAAAAAAAAAAAAAAATCTGAAAAGTTAAAAAAAACAAACAAAAAGCAATTTGTTCTATATCCCAAGTGATAGCATTCATTCTTCCCACTGTGCACCATGGACAGTTTAATTTGTATAGTGGTGAGAATGAAATGTATGAAACAAATGGTAAATCTAGTAGATACCTGATAGGCCTTCAACAACTATGCCTCATTTCCATCCCAAAGTTTTGTACCCTGAAATCATAACTATGGCCCACAGCAGGAAAAGGTCAGACTACAAAAACAGACTTGAGCACTGTTAGGCTCACAACTCTAAAATTCAACTAAACACTGATGATACGACTCAGCAACAGCTGCTGGAATGTTCAGATTCTTAAGTCACAACATTCTTTTAGACAGTATAGTCTTGGAAGGAGGTCTCTGTCAAAGTCACACGGGTACCTTAAGTATCAATGACATTAAGCCAACAATGATTTTCGTGACCGAGGCAAACTAACATGAAGATATATTAATTTTTTTTTTTTTTGAGACAGAGTTTCGCTCTTTCGAGCAGGCTAGAGAGTGCAGTGGCGCGATCTCGGCTCACTGCAACCTCCGCCTTTCTGTTTCAAGCGATTCTCCTGCCTCAGCCTCCTCAGTAGCTGGAATTACAGGCGCCTGCCACCACACCCGGCTAATTTTTGTATTTGTAGTAGAGATGGGGTTTCACCATGTTGGCCAAGCTGGTCTCAAACTCCTGACCTTGTGATCTGCCTGCCTCAGCCTCCCAAAGTGCTGGGTTACAGGCGTGAGCCACCGTGCCTGGCCCTAATATTCTTATGTGTTAACAACTTACTATGAGATCCTTACCCTCCTAGCAGAACTGACGTTATTTTTAAAAACACTGGCAAAAGCACAAATTCTTCAGATCACTTTATTCTAATATAATATCTTTCCATTTTCCTGGGCTATTCCTTATATATTAATAGTATCAAATGCACTTGAAGTTTTGTTACTTTGAATAATCATAATGTAACAAACATCAAACAAAATCTGAGACATTCAAATTTAAAATTTTAATAAAATCTGCACCAACATAGGCTCATCCATCACTAACTTCAATGACAATCTATTAAATATAACTCAGTAGATGTCATCTAAAAAGTACGCATCCTCAAATTCTTTCCCAGGAGGAGAACTCAATGCTAGACTGGCCTGCCCCATTAGAGATGTTAACATCACAGCTCAATGCCATGAAGAGCAGGACCAAAAAAACAAAAGCAAAACACAATTCTTAAATATGGCAAGTGCTCAAGACACCATTTACCAAAAAAAGAAACGTTCCCTATTTCAACCAGTTTACTAGCTAGTAACAATGTAGCAGGCACTGTACTAGTCACTGAGCCATACTCAGACTGAGGATAGGGGAGGCGGGTGGACATGGCCCAGGTCCTCAAAGTGTTCCTCAAAATGTTTACCTATTAGTTACAGGACTTCAGATTGAGTTTTCCAGTTGTAGCATGGCTTACTTTACCTGGAAGGCAAGTTTAAGATCTGGGTAGGCATCAAGGAAGAATAAGCCACATGTGGCTGACCAGATCACCTGGGAAACTCCGGAAACAGATTCCCAGGGGCTGTGCGCGATTCACTAAATGGGAATCTCCAGAGAAGGCTGGGCATCTGTGTTCTTAACACCCCTCGCTCACCCGCATGGTTCTGGTGGTCAACCAGCTTAGAACTCACTGACCTCAACTACGCCACATGAAGTCACCTTTAGCATTTTTATATAATGCAAGCTTCCTCACTGTCACATTATACCACAACCTTCTTCCACCCACCACATTTAGCACGATATGTCTATAATACTGAAGTTTAATACTGGTCAGAAGTTCAGAAGAAATAACTCATATGTCCTTTTTTTTTTTTTTTTTTTTTTTTTTTTTTTTTTTTTTTTTTGGAGACACAGTCTCACTCTGTCACCCAGGCTGGAGTACAGTGGTGTGATCACGGCTCACTGCAGCCTCAACCTCCTGGGCTCAAGTGATCCTCCCACTTCAGCCTCCCAAGTAGCTGGGACCACAGGCACAGGCCATCACACCCGGCTAAGTTTTTTTTTTATTTTTTGTACAGAGGGGTCTTCCTATGTTGCCCAGATTGGTCTCAAACTCTTGGGCTCAAGGGATCCTCCCACCTTGGCCTCCCAAAGTGCTAGGATTATAGGTGTGAGCCACCGAGCCCAGCTACCAAATGCAGCAATTTTGTCTTATTATTTAAAACACTGTGTGTTTAGGTACTCTATGAAAAAAAATAATGTAGGAAATGCTTTTCAATTCAAACTATGCAATTAAGAAGTAGTGAAAAAAGGCCAGGCACAGTGGCTCACACCTGTAATCCCAGCACTTTGGGAGTCTGAGGTGTTGGATCACCTGAGCTCAGGAGTTCAAGACCACCCTGGGCAAAATGGTAAAACCCCATCTCTATACTAAAATACAAAAAATTAGCTGGGCATGGTGGCACGTGCCCGCAGTCCCAGCTACTCAGGAGGCCGAGGCACAAGAATCGCTTGAGCCCTGGTGCCACTGCACTCCAACCTGGGCAACAGAGTGAGACTCTATCTCAAAAAAAATAAAAAATAAATAAAAAAACATAAGTAGTAAAAAAAAAAAAAAAAATCTAGGCTCAATCCAGGAAAGTAAAAAACTTAAGCTAAAAAGGGAAAGATTCCTTAGGAAGAGATAATGGCAGAAAAAAAAAATCTCAAACCAAAATAAAATGAAACACTAGAAGAATCCTTATTGAAGCCAGAATTAAGCCAAGGAGATCTACTATCATTATTCTGATTTTACACTGTTAGGAAGAATTAGATATTACAAATCAAAAAGAAAAGAGTAAATGAAAAGGATTTTGGGAAGAAAGAGGAGATTAAAATTTAATTCTTTTTTTTTTTTTTGAGACGGAGTCTTGCTCTGTCACCCAGGCTGGAGTGCAGTGGCACAATCTCAGCTCACTGCAACCTCCACCTCCCATGTTTGAGCGATTCTTCTGCCTCAGCCTCCTGAGTGCTGGGACTACAGGCGTGCACCACCACGCCCGGCTAATTTTTGTATTTTTAGTAAAAACGGGGTTTCACCACGTTGGCCAGGCTGGTCTCAAACTCCTGGCCTCAGGCGATCCACCTCGGCCTCCCAAAGTGCTAGGATTGCAGGCGTGAGCCACCGCGCATGGCAAATTTCATTCTTTATAGATGATAACTGTATACCTTGAATAACTAAGGAGATTAAGTGAAAAACTAAAGCAATAAGGGAATTCAAAAAGATGACCAGTTACTAAATGAATAGACAGAAATCAACAACTACCCTGTCTAACAATAAGAACATATAATGGATGAAAACATCCCACTCAGAATGGCAACAGCAATAGAATGTTACCCTTAAGAATACACCACATAACTACATGAATAAGCTATTACTCCTACCCTTAAAAATAATATTGCTCTTTAAATAAACTCTCTACATACAAGCAGACAAACAGAGACATGCCTTAATCTTACACAGGAAGAGTCCGTTTTGTTTTTTTTGTTTTTTGTTTTCTGGTCAATTGGTTCAGGAGGAGGAAGAGTCAATATTTTTTAAAGAAATATTGAATATCACTAAATCTACCTACAAATTTAATGCAAAGCCATTCAAAACTGGTGCTAATACTGAAGGTGGTGGTAAATTATACACAGGTGATAGTAAAGGGTTAAAGAGCCATTATAAAGGGTCACATTAGCTATCAAAAATTTTAATGCACATACCCTATTAGCCAAATAGTGCCTTTCTAGGAACCTACCCCACATAAGTATTTGTACATGTATGCAAAGATATACACACACAAAAATGTTCGGTGAAGCACTATAATAGCAAAACCACCACCAGAACCTGGAAACACGCAAAATAGAGGATATATTAAATAAATTATATTACATCCATTCAATAAAATTCTATACAACCATCAAAAATGAAGATGTATACTTACTGCCATAAACGGATGTATAATATAGCTTGAAAGTGCTTGAAAACAGTATATATTTATAATGTGAGGCCAGCTTAATAGGGACACAATGCTAGGTTCAAATCCCAGCACCAGCTATGTGATTTCAGGCAAGTAAATTAATCCCTTCATTCCTTGGTTTCTTCATCTCTAAAACCTGGGTAATAATCCCTACCTCAGTGTTAAATGTTGCCATTTTTGGATAATATTTCCTAATTCAAAAGAAGTAGGATTTCATGGTGCAGTGATTTATTTACTTATTACTGAATATTATTTTTTGTATACTAGTGATCTCTATTTCTCTCATGAATTGTCCTTGGATAACTTTTCTACTGGAGTTTTAGTGCTTCTTATCAATTTGTGTGAATGCTTATACACTGAGGATATTTGTGCTTGCTCATTACATTGCTAATTTTTCCCAGCTTGTTGTTTACCTTGTTATACATTTTCTGCAATATAAGTATTTAAACAGTCCAGGTGATCAAATCTACCAATTATTTTCCTGAATAATTTCCTTTATTATGTTTCTACTTTGAAAGTCCCTCTATATGCTAAAATGTCATATCATTTCTCTTCCACTTTTATATATATATATTTTATCCCAAATGGGAAGAACTACACTAATCCAATTTTCCCAAACATATGTATATAAGCATTCAAGACCATCAACTTTGCATTAAAAGCCCTTGGTTTTTTTAACACTACCTTCCCAAAGCTAGCATGATGGAGGTAGGCACTACTCTCAAAAATACATAAACTATACTTACAGATTGCCAGCCATGTTCTCAAACTCACACCACCTTCCATGAGTCCCTTAACTTGTCTGAGACCTTTTCTCATACAGAAATCAGGAAAGACAGAAGAGGAAGCTATGGAAGCAGACCCAATCAATAGCTGCATAAAGCACTACCAATAGTTACACGTCTGCCTTTTAAGCAAAGAATATGTTATAGCTCAAAATTCAAAGCAATATAAAAAGGTATCCCTTAAGAAGTCTTACACTACCTCATTTCTGCCTTCTATCCACCTTCTATTCCTGTGTATCTTTCCAATGCTTCTCTCTGTACATACAATATATTATTATTTGCCCCCAATTTTTTTTTTTTTTGAGACGGAGTTTCGCTCTTGTTGCCCGGGCTGGAGTGCAATGGCGTGATCTTGGCTCACTGCAACCTCCGCCTCCTGGGTTCAAGCGATTCTCCTGCCTCAGCCTCCTGAGTAGCTGGGACCACAGGCATGCACCACCACGCCCAGCTAATTTTGTATTTTTAGTAGAGACAGGGTTTCTCCATGTTGGTCAGGCTGCTCTCAAACTCCCGACCTTAGGTGATCTGCCCGCCTCGGCCTCCCAAAGTGCTGGGATTACAGGCTGAGCTATCACGCCCAGCCTGCCCCAAACATTTTAAACAGTCCTTGCACGAAGACTCTTCCACTTTACTTGTTAAATGCTCCTATCTTTTGACAGCAGTAATATGTAGACTTTTCAGTTCTGCAAAGTCATGAAAATTAACCTACTGTTGACTCAACATATTTATATATAATTGAAACTGCTCTTCCAACCATGTGTCTTAAGCAGAAGGTAATGACCCTAAGGTCAATTAATTTATGTTTGAAAGTACAAATGTTACATCTTAAAACAGTGTTTTACATCTTTTTTTTTTTTTTTTTTTTTTTTTTGAGACAGGGTTTCACTCTGTCACCCAGGCTGGAGTGCAGTGGTGCAATCATAGCTCATTGCAGCATTGACCTCCTGGCCTCAAGCAATCATCTGCCTCAACTTCCTGAGTGGCCAAGACTATAGGTGCACGACACCATGCCTGGCTGGTGTTCTCAAACTGTGTCCTGTGAGAAGTTCTTTTGATTGAGACCCCTGGTGAGGTCCAGTCTCAAACCCCAAACTTCAATCATAATAGCTCTACTCCCTCCTAAGATTTTTCACAGTTTAAATATGGCTTTGATAAAAGTAAAATTGTTCCCAGACCCTAACAATAGTTTTAAAGCAACGCACAATCTCCATATTGTGCAATGTAAATTACATGACCAATTTTTTAATGCTCCTTGGCTTGTTTCATAGAAAAGCATAGTCTCTATAGAACGAAGAATTCAATATATAAAGTTCAAACTTAAATATTTTATCCAAATCCAGTATCTTTGCCTGTCCTTAAATTTTCTATTTCTCCTTCTGAGTACTTTTTTTTTCTCTATGTTACTTCGTATATATAAGATCATAAAGCACACTGCCCTTTTGTGGATTCTGAACATTATTGTAAGGTAAACTCTGACTTCCAGTTAAAGTGTTTTAAAAGTGTTTTAACTGTTTAAATGATGGACTAAACATATTATCTAATTTCACTCTTTCCCAAAGCCCCACTAAAACCAAAGCAAAACAAAATTTTAAGCAATTATTTTAAAAATTAAAAAAAAAAAATGTAGGCCAGGTGCAGTGGCTCACACCTGTAATCCCAATACTTCGGGAGGCCGAGGCAGGCGGATCACCTGAGGTCGGGAGTTCGAGACCAGGCTGGCCAACAGGGAGAAACCCCATCTCTACTAAAAATACAAAACTAGTCGGGTGCGGTGGCGCATGCCTGTAATCCCAGCTACTCGGGAGGCTGAGACAGCAGAATCGCTTGAACCCAGGAGGCGGAGGTTGCAGTGAGTTGAGATCACGCCATTGCACTCCAGCCTGGGCAACAAGAGCAAAACTCCATCTCAAAAAACAACAACAAAAAAATTTTAAAGCAATATTAAACCATGAGGATGTGGAGAAAAGAAAAGGTGACAACAGCAAGATTTTGGCCCTGAAAAGCTGAGGACCCATCGTGCCTGACTTTAGAGATATAAGAAAGACAGCAGGGGCAAGAGCTGAGAACGAGCCCAACACACTCCCTAGATCCTTAAAGGCTCTGGAACTCGTTGGTGCCCAGGTACCTGTGGGACTGGAATAGGAGGGCTGAGGAGCAAGTGTGGACAGCCCAAAATACTCAGGCCATGGTGAGACCCTCTCCCGCCCCACACTGCTGGGCACTTGCTCCTCCCTGGCTTCAGCCTTCTCCAGAAGTTTTCTGGAATGTGTAAAGCAAAGGTTCTCTGCACCCACAGTTAACTGGCAGGGTCAGAGTACAATGATAAAATCAAACATTTTTAAATAAACCAAAAAAATAACAATTAAACCCTTGTTTCATTTAATTTTTTTTTGTTTTGCAATCAAATAATACTCACGCTTTCTTTTACTGTGCATTTGCTTGGCTTATTTTTGAACCATCCTTTTGCTTTTTTTTTAGAGACAGAGTCACTCTGTTGCCCAGGCTGGAGTGCAGTATCATGATCTCCACTCCCTGCAACTGCCACCTCCCGGGTTCAAGCGATTCTCCTGCCTCAGCCTCCTGAGTAGCTGGTATTACAGGCATCCACCACCACACCCAGCTAATTTTTGTATTTTTAGTAGAGACGGGGTTTCACCATGTTGGCCAGGCTGGTCTCGAACTCTGACCTCAAGTGATCCACCCACCTCGGCCTCTCAAAGTGCTGGGATTACAGGCGTGAGCCACTGCGTCTGGCCCCTTTTACTTTCTTTTTTGAATTTTTTTCCAACCTTTTACTTTCTGAATGAATGACTTATATGTAACTACCATAGTTTTTGTTTAGTACAGAAAGTGAATTTAGTTGAGTCCATGCCAGGTGAGGTCATCTCAGGTGCAACAGTCTTACTCTTGTTTTAACTTTTGTACTATTCCTTGTTGTTGCCTGTTTCCTTTTACTCTGTAATCTATTTTATTTGGTTGCTTTTCTTCCTCTCAATTTTACTTTTACATTTCAAAGGTATACAAAGTCTGTTTTTAGCATAATAGCCTTCTCAATTTATCAATTTCAAAAAAATGAAACAGTATTCCTTAACTACATATTCTGAAAGATACGACAATTAGCACAGTGGTATCTCCCACTCCCCAGCCCAAACCTAACCTAATCCCCCATGATATTGTTGACTTTCAGGAAATTTTGCTATGGCATGTTATCATTGTGTTGACATTTTTAAGGTTGAGTCGGTATTTATTCAATTGTTTTTGCCTTCTGGCTTATTTCTCCAAGAAAGATTATTCAATTATTGAAGCTGGTATCTTTATACTTCAACCTTTCTATTTCTGGAGCCCTCACTGATTCATCTTTCAGTTGGCTGGGTTATATCTGCAAGTAGATTTTTCAGTGAGGTTTATGAATGCCATTAATTCCTGAGCTTTTGCCCATTTGCAAATGTCTTATTATGCTGCATTTTAATGACATTTCAATCCAATCACATTGTCTTCCTTCTTGCCCTAACTCCCCTACTCTTGTTTTTTCCTTTTGAGCCAGAGTCTCGCTTTGTCACCCAGGCTGGAGTGCAGTGGCGCAGTCACAACTCACTGTAACCTTGAACTCTTAGATCCACACCATCCTCCCACCTCTGCCTCCCAGGTTACTGACACCACAGGCACGCATCACCACACCTGGCTTTTTCTTTTAGGGGGCAGGGGGACAGAGACAGGGTCTTGCTATGTTCCCCAGGCTGTTCTCCAACTCCTGGGCTCAAGCAATCCTCCTGCCTTGGCCTCCCAAAGTGCTGGGATTACAGGCATTAGCCACTGTGCCCAGTCCCCCTACATTCTTAAGCATTGCTTCATCATCTTTTGGCACATTACACTGTTGAAAACCCCAAGACTAAGGTGATTTTATTTTTTCCATTATAGGTGGCCTGTTGGCTTTTTTCCTGCTTAAATATGTGTAGTATTCTTTTATCTTTCAGGGGTTTGTTTTGTTTTGTTTTTGAGATGGAGTTTCACTCTCGTTGCCCAGGCTGAAGTGCAATGGCGTGATCTTGGCTCACCTCAACCTCTGCCTCCCAGGTTCAAGCGATTCTCCTGCCTCAGCTTCCCGAGTAGCTGGATTTACAGGCATGCACCACCACACCTGGCTAATTTTGTATTTTTAGTAGAGATGGGGTTTCTCCATGTTGGTCAGCTGGTCTGACCCCAGGTGATCTGCCCACCTCGGCTTCCCAAAGTGCTGGGATTATAGGCACGAGCCACCGTGCCCGGCCTATCTTTCAGGTTTTATAAATTAACCAGGATACGCTTCCATTTTAATGACTCTGAATTTTTTACAGTTCACAGTGAGTCCTTATATTAATATTATATGATCTTTCATTATATTCCAGGAAAACTTTGTCTTTTATTTATTAATGTTACATCTGTTCCACACACTCTGTTCTCTTCAGCAGGAACACCAGCTCTGACTACAGTAGATGCCTTCTGGATTCTTCTCCCACAGCTTCAATCTTCTCTCTAATCACCATGACCTCTTTGTTCTTTCCTACCGTGGTCTACGTAATTTCAGGAAGTTGATCCTCACATCAGTGATTTCAGAACCACTGGTACTACCTCATGTAACCTCCAACATGCTTTTAATTCCTGAAATGATTTTAGTTTTCTATTTCTTTCCTTATGGATGTCAGCTGACCTCCATGTCCTCCTTTTAGCTTTCTTTAATCTTTTAAAATTACTTCTTTGTTCTTTTGTTTTATTGAGCTCATGTTGTCTAAATTTAAGAGCAAAGTGGCTTTATCTAAAATTCCATTCTAGCCAGGCACAGTGGCTCACACCAGTAATCCCAGCACTTTGGGAGGCTGAGGCAGGCAGATCACCTGAAGTAAGACCAGCCTGGCCAACATGGTGAAACCCCATCTCTACTAAAAATACAAAAATTAGCCAGGCATGGTAGCAGGCACCTGTAATCCTAGCTACTCGGGAGGCTGAGGCAGGAGAATGGCTTAAACCCAGGAGGCAGAGGTTGCAGTAAGCCGAGATCAAGCCACTGCACTCCAGCCTGGGTGTCAGAGCGAGACTCTGTCTCAAAAAATGAAAAAAAAATAAAATTCCATTCTAATTACTGAAGTACTCTTTCCAAAGTATACTTTTTCATCTATTTTTGCTTGTTATGTTTCCTTCCTTATTTTCTGTGCATAGTCCCATGATGGGTCCTTTCTGCTTCACACTCAGCTTTGAATGGGTGCAGGTCTCCCTGGACCTGCTTGCTCAACAACAACTCGTTGCCATGCTTACAATGACACTGAATACAATGTCTTGAAATCTCTGTGTAGTCCTCTGGTTGTTTAGAAGAATTGGCTGAACAGTGAGCAATCAGAGCCTGAACTTGGGTATACTTTCCCACTAATTCTACTAAATCCTTTGTTCTGGGCGTATATCTAATTCCAAAGTTCATTGTGGAGGACAGGCGGGTTTAAGGGGAAATGCCTTATCTTAGATATTAGCAATTCCTGATCAGATATAAGCTGGTCATCCTCACAGATTTTCTCCTTTAGTCAAACAAAGTCAAAGAACATAATGACACCATTACTACATGATCCCTCTTTCAGCCCAGCATGCCCTGCTATATTTTAGGATGGAAAGGAGCTGCTGCCAGAATATGCTTCTTTGGCAATGGTCTATTCATCCATCAGCTCCTAGCTCTGCTGTAACGACTGTGAGTAGTACCTTCAGAAACCTATGCTTAGACACCTGCAACCAGCCAGAGATGGGCGGGGATGCCACATCTCTGTATCCTCCTGCAAATGGATCCACACTTCACTGGAAATTTCATAAAATGTGATATGAATTTTAGCTGTTTTCTTCTCTATTTTTGGTTAGTTTTGTTCATTTTTAGGAGGTTCCAGGAAGTAGTGTTACATGAATGTATATTTATAGCACCATATGCCCAATAAACTATTAAAGAATCTTTTAGTATGAAAAGGATATAAGACATATGGTAAAATCAATGCTACAGAGAACTTTTCCTAAATGAAGCTTTTATGGCAGTTGTAAGGGAAAGAGTATAGTAATTTATGGCTCTGTCCTCTATCAATACAGGTCCAATGCAACATGAAAAGAATGCACATAAAATATAATAAATTTGTTGACTACTAATAATTTTTTTAATTAGAAGTAAAAGGCTTTTTTTTTTTTTTTACAAATCAGATGCTGAAACGGAGAAAGGGAGAGAGGAAGAAGAGATGCAAGCTAATTTCATAATTACTCATAGTTGGGAGCCAACAGAAAACAGCCACAAATAAAAGGACTATATATAATGATAACAATTAGACAAAAATACAGTCTGCCCTAAAGTGCACCAAAAAAGATATTAATAAAATAAAATGGACTACATGGCAAAAGATGTTTAAATACATATATATGTAAATATTGCAAAACTGAGGCCAAATATATCAATCATATCAATACATATAAATATGCTTAAATCACCTATCTATGAGTATAAATGAGCTTAAGTCATCCAACAAAAGGCAACATTTTCATATTGACTAAAAAGCAAAACAATATTTTGGGTACAGACAATTCAGAAAGAATAATAAAAGGATGGAGAAATATATATATATCTATATCAGACAAACACAAGGAGAAGCAAGCAGGGATCACACATCTTGATATCTGACAAAGTACAACTCGGCTGAGAAAACAATTAGAAGGCTACTTGATATGCTAAATCAACAACTCTAGTGAAGAGACAAGTTATTTCTATCTAGATAACCAATATGGCAGCAACAACTTTCATAAAGCAGAACCCACAGAAAATGCGAGGAGACCTTAATAGGTTACTAACAATAGGAGGCCTTAGTATGCCATTCTCAGTCCATGACAGACTAGGTACACACACACACAAAAATGTGAGCCCAGACATGGTGGCTCACCCCTGTAATCCCAGCACTTTAGGAGGCAGAGGCGGGTGGATCACCTGAGGTCAGGAGTTCGAGACCAGCCTAGCCAACATGGAGAAACCCCGTCTCTACTAAAAACACAAAAATTAGCCAGGCATGGTGGCGGGTGCCTATAATCCCAGCTCCTCGGGAGGCTGAGGCAAAGAACTGCCTGAACCCAGGAGGTGGAGGTTGCAGTGAGCCGACATCACGCCACTGCACTCCAGCCTGTACGACAGAAGGAGACTCGGTCTCAATTAAAAAAAAAAATTGGAAGCCCTAAATAACATAATTAATAAGGTAGTTCATATAGACACATTAAACTCAGAACTTATAAAGATTGTATCTCCTAGCCAGGCGCGGTGGCTCATGCCTGTAATCCCAGCACTTTGAGGGGCCAAGGTGGGTGGCTCACCTGAGGTCAGGGGTTCGAGACCAGCCTGGCCAACATGGTGGAACCCCGTCTCTACTAAATATAAAAAATTAGCTGGGCGTGATGGCGGGCGCCTGTAATTGCAGCTACTTGAGAGGCTGAGGCAGGAGAATTGCTTGAATCCAGGAGGTGGAGGTTGCAGTGAGCCGAGATCGCTCCATTGCACTCCAGCCTGGGCAACAAGAGTGAAACTCTGACTCAAAAAAATGAATACAAAGAACATTCGCAAACCCTCTTAGGCCACAATAAGTGAAAACAAACAAACAAACAAACAAACACCAGAACTATCCCACTAAAATCAGGAATAAAATAATAATGCCCACTAACTCCACTCTGATTTAAATTAACATTGCTTTGGAGGTAATGGCCTCTGCACTGTGTCAATAAAAAAGCAGTTAAGAGTCCCTAAAAATGGAAAGGAAGAGGTAAAACAATCTCTTTTGCCAATAACAGGTTTTGGTTTTTATTTTTGAGACAGCGTCTGGCTCTGTTGCCCAGGCTGGAGTACAGTGGCTCAATCTCAGCTCACTGCAACCTCCGCCTCCCAGGTTCAAACGAGTCTCCTGCCTCAACCTCCCATGTAGCTGGGATTACAGGCGTGTGCCACCACGCCCAGCTAATTTTTTTGTATTTTTAGAAGAGACAGGGTTTTGCCATGTTGGCCAAGCTGGTCTCAAATTCCTGGCCTCAAGTGATCTGCCTGCTTCGGCCTCGCAAAGTGCTTGCAATTACAGGTGTGAGCCACTGCGCCAGGCCCAATGACAAGTTTTTATATCTGAAAATCCCTAGGGATCAAGGGAAAAATTTATACAAATAATATGAGCATTCTGTAAAGCAGCACGTTATAAAATGAGTAACTACCATGAAAAACCACCATGTAATCTAGGAATGAAAAAACTAACAATCTTCATATATTCAAGAAAAACAAGATAAAATGGAAGAGAAGGCACCATTTATGATAGCAAAAAAAAATCAAATACATAAAGTTAACAAGAAATCTACCTGCAGAAACACCACAATATTCCTAAAAGACACAAAATAGACTTGAACTAATGGAGAGATAAACCATGTTCTTTGATGGGAAGACTCAGTATTATACAGATAATGATGCTCATTAAATTAATTTTTAAGTTTAATAAAATCCCAATAAAAATGCCATCAGGCTTTCTCTCCCAGAACTAGAGAAACTGATTACAAAGATCACTTGGAGGAACAACAATCGAAAATACATGGGAAAGCCCTAAAAAGGAATTAGATGGGCAGGGGAAGCCGGCACCATTAGAAATGAAATCATTCTAAAGAGCCTAATTAAAACTGTGTGGTGCTGCTATTATGAACAGACCAATAGACTAACTCAACACAATACAAAATCCAGAAAGAAACACAATTGCATAGACAAATGCAGCATATGATAAAGGCAGCATCTCCAGTCATTGGGTTTTTTCCATAAATTATGTTGAGATAAACAGGACAGCCATAGCCACACACACACAAAAGTGGATCCAACTGGGTCCATTCTTCATACCTTATCTCAGGATAAATTCCAAATGAATTAGAGATTTAAATGAAAAAAATGAAACCATTAAAAAAAAAAAAAAAACCTACCAGCTGGGCACAGTGGCTCACATCTATAATCCCAGCACTTTGGGAGGCCGAGGCAGGTGGATCACCTGAGGTCAGGAGTTTGAGATCAGCCTGACCAATATGGTAAAACCCCCTTCTCTACTAAAAATACAAAAATTAGCCCGATGTGGTGGCATGCACCTGTAGTCCCAGCTACTCGGGAGGCTGCAGCAGGAGAATCGCTTGAACCCAGGAGGTGGAGGTTGCACTGAGTGGAGACTGTGCCGCCGCACTCTAGCATGGGCAACAGAGTGAGACTCTGTCTCAAAAAAACAGAAAAGAAAAAGAAGAAAAGAAACCACCATGTAATCTGGGAATGAAAAAAACCTTTCTTAACTATGACTCAAAATCTAGAAACAATAAAGAAAAGATGAATAAATCCGATTGCCTAAAGAAAACAAACTTTGCATGGTAAAAGACAAATGATAAATAGGGGAAATATATTTGCAACGTATATCATTAAGGGTTAATATTCTCTATGTGCAGAAGAAAGTTAATGGGCCTGAGACTGCTGTCTCTTAGAAAGTCCTGCTTGGAGGAATGGCCTTTAATTGGTATCTAGGATCTTGGAGTTCAGGCGTTCCCACCATTCCCTAAATGCTAAAAGTAGTTCACTGCTCCTAGAGTGGCAAACAACGTGGTTTATGCCAATGCCTTGCTTTCCTTCTGGGACTCTGGAATTCCGGCACGTGCTATGCACAGGGTGCCTGCATGACAAGTCCCCAGTGAAAACCTTGGGCCCTGTGTCTCTGAGGAGCTTCCCTGGTACGGAGCATTGCACACGTGTTGTCACAGCCTGATGCTGGAGGAATTAACTGCATCCTGCACGGCTGCACTGGGTGAGGACTCGGGAAGCTTGCCCCGGTTTCCTCTAGGCTCCACCCCACATCTTTTCCCTTGGCTGTTTTTGCTTTGTACATTTTCACCGTAGTCCTGATTCCTCCTAGCAAGTCACTGGAACTGGGAGTGGTCTGCGGAACCCCTGAACAGACCTTAATACATGAAGAGCTTCTAAAAATGAAGAAGCAAAAGACCAAAACCCCAGAGAAAAGTTAGAGAAATGAAGAGACCGAAAAAAATAAATGCGAAGATTATCATAATCATGAAAGTGGGTTGTTAAAATATGAAGTTCAGCCTTCTCTCGTGCTCACAATCTCACCCACTCTTGCCCTTCCTTCTTCCGCCATGGGATGACACAGCACGCAGGGCCTCATTAGATGCTGGCACCATGCTCTAAGACTCTGCAGCCTCCAGAACTGTGAGCCAAATAAACTTTTTTTTTTCTTTTTTTAAGGTGTGCACTTTTACTGAACTGGTCTCAAGTCAGTGTACAGGTATGCCCTGGATGCCTCCACACTTCCACCCACTCCCAGGGAGACCAAAAGCCTTCATACATCTCAAGGTAGGGACAAAAATGGGGACCATGATAGCTGATTATTCAAAATAAAACAAAAAGTATTAAGGTGAAGATTTTTTTAAATGTTGCATTACATAATTTACATGAAAGCAATCCTGTAACCTCCCCTTTGTGGACTCAGGAGAGAACTGGGCCGTTCTCCTGAGAGAAGTGGGGTGGCTTTTGGGAGGGCAAGGGACTTCCTGTAACAATGCATCTCACAATATGTGGAATGACTATTTAAAAAAAAAAAAAAAAAGCCAGGCGCAGTGGCTCATGGCTGTAATCTCAGCACTTTGGGAGGCCCAGGCAGGCAGATCACCTGAGGTCAGGAGTTCAAGACTGGCCTGACCAACATGGAGAAACCCCGTCTCTATTAAAAATACAAAATTAGCCGGGCATAGTGGCGCATGCCTGTAATCCCAGCTACTTGGGAGGCTGAGGCAGGAGAATCACTTGAACCCGGGAGGCGGAGGTTGTGGTGAGCCAAGATCGCGCCATTCTACTCCAGCCTGAACAATGAAAGCAAAACTCTGTCTCCGGAAAAAAAAAAAAAAAAAAAAAAGGGCCAGGGTAAGACCCAGTCTCAAAACAAAAATAAAAATAAATAAGTAAAATAAAGAACAATGTACAATCAAGGTCCTCGGCCACACTGTAGAACTTTGGAGGATGCTCACTCCAACTAACTGCTGTCACCTTCACCATTCTATTCTTTTCTTTATAAATTACCCGGTGTGTGGTATTCTGTTACAGCAACACAAAACAAAGACATTAAGATATCATTTATTCTAGGTTGGTAATTTTACAAATTGGCAATAGGCTCTATTGGTGAGTCTGTAAGACACAGGCATCCTCACACATTACTGGTGAGAATGCACACTAATGAGTGTAATTTGACACTGCCTAGCAAAATTACATATGCATTTGCCCTTTGACCCAGAAATCCCATTTCTAAAAATCTAAGCCACAGATACTCAGGCAAAAAATACAAAAAGATATCCTTGCTTTATTTTTTCTTTTTTTTTTTTTTTGAGATGGAGTCTCGCTGTTGCCAGGCTGGAGTGCAGTGGCGCGATCTCAGCTCACTGCAACCTCCGCCTCCTGGTTCAAGCGATCCTCCTGCCTCAGCCTCCTGAGTAGCTAGGACTACTAAAATTAGCCCACCAGTGTGCCCGGCTAATTTTTTTGTATTTCTTTTTTTTTTTAGTAGAGACGGGGTTTCACCGTGTTAGCCAGGATGGTCTCGATCTCCTGACCACGGGTCGTGATCCACATCCTCGGCCTCCCAAAGTGCTGGGACTACAGGTGTGAGCCACTGCGCCTGGCCAGAATGCTCAAAAAATGAAGACATGTCTAAAGAACATGGAAGGCCAGGTGCAGTGCCTCACTCCTGTAATCCCAACACCTTGGGAGGCAGAGGTGGGCAGATCACCTGAGGTTAGGAGTTCAAGACCAGCCTGGCCAACATGACAAAACCCCATCTCTACTAAAAATACAAAAAAACAGCCATGCGTGGTGGTGTACACCTATAATCCCAGCTACTCAGGAGGCTGGGGCAGGAGAATCGCTTGAACCCGGGAGGCAGAGGTTGTAGTGAGCTGAAGTCACACCACTGCACTTCAGCCTGGGCAACACAGCAAGACTCCGTCTCAAAAAATAAATAAATAAAAAATAAAGAACATGGGAGTCAGCCTGAATGAGCTTCACTTGGCAAAATCTGGGACAATTTAAGCAATAGATAACCCACTGACAACAATGAGGACGGCATAATGGATTATCATTCTTTGAACAGAACGACAACTCATACAGACAATAAACAAATGAGGCCTATGGATAAGTTCTTCCTTAAAATAAAATGTTAACTAATAAATGGAGACAGAATAATAGAGTTCAAAAATCACCATTTTGCAACCATCACCATAATTAGTAATTCAGGCAAGAATCACCAATGGGCCAGGCACAGTGGCTCACGCCTGTAATCACAGCACTTTGGGAGGCCAAGGCGGGTGGATTGCTTGAGATCAGGATTCAAGACCAGCTTGGGCAACATGATGAAATCCCGTCTCTACCAAAAATACAAAAAGTTAGCCGGGCATGGTGGCTCATGCCTGTAATCCCAGCTACCCATGAGGCTGAAGCAGGAGAATTCCCTGAACCTGGGAGACAGAGGTTGCAGTGAGCAGAGATTGTGCCACTGCACTCCAGCCTAGGAAACAGAACAAGATTCTGTCAAAAAAAAAGAAAAAAACAAGAGTCACCAATGGATACTTAAACTAATGGATGAAAGTTTAAGAATAGAGTACTTACATAAAATATTCCCCCACAAATGACTTTTTTTTTTTTTTTTTTTTTTTTTTTTTTGAGATGGAGTCTCGCTCTGTCACCAGGCTGGAGTGCAGTGGCCCGATCTCGGCTCACTGCAACTTCCGCCTCTCGGATTCAAGTGATTCTCCTGAGCAGCCTCCAAAGCAGCTGGGACTACAGGCACGCACCACCACACCCAGCTAATTTTTGTATTTTTAGTAGAGACGGGGTTTCACCATGTTGGCCAGGTTGGTCTCGAACTCCTGCCCTCAGGTGATCCGCCCGCCTCGGCCTCCCAAAGTGCTGGGATTACAGGCATGAGCCACCGCGCCCAGCCAAATGACTTATTAATTACAAAGAAAAATAGTAACTGAACAGTGAAGAAACCTCGTGGACATCACCCTCTCCAAATGATCCAAGTGAACTTCATCAAGACTGAGGCGAGTCCCTATCTTAAGCCTTTCGATGGGATGCACTAAGAAGGATCAACAGGACTTCTGTGGTAGTCCTGACAAATATGCATATCCTGTATCTATCACAGAGAAACACTAGGTAACAACTGGCTGTCAAAAATGCCAACATCTTGAAAGACAAAAAAAGGTTAAGAAATTATTCCAGATTAAATTAGACTTAAAAGACATGACACCCACCAGATGCAATGTATGCCGCTGATGGGGAGGTCTTTCATGGGTGACATTCCATAAAAGACATGAATCCATACTGTATATAGGATACTACTGTATGTATGTTAAATTTTCTGATTTTGATGATTGGAATGTGATTCTAGAAGGGAAAATGTGTCCTCAGAAAGTACGCATTCAAGTATTTTGATATAAAAGGGTATGATCTCTGCAACTTACTCTCAAACAGTGCAGGAAAGTAATAATAATATGTATGGACATACAGAGAGTGACAAAGCAAATGTTAACAGTTGGTAAAACTGGAAGAAGAGTATACAGTAGTTTTTTGTTCTCTTCCAGCTTTCAGTAGATTTGAAATTATTTCAAAAAAAGTTGAAAAATGCAAAAGACTTCATTTGAAAAGTTTGGCTCAGAGAAGTGAGACCGGAGTTGTGAAATATTCTCTGAAAACTATGCAGCCTAGTCATCCCTTTAAATAGATGAAGCTTTATTTTTGGACTCAGCAGATCCCTTTGTCCATATTATCCTGGCCTCCAGCACATCACTGCTTACTCAGGTAGTCTCGGGGTTTACCTGAGGAGGATTCAAGGATACTGGGATGAAATTTATTTGTAAAAAATACTGTTTATCACACTGTCCAATAAATCATTAGTGCCCACTATGTATAGCTCAATGCTTTTACAATTTAGTACTACAAAAAAAGGCTTTTTTCACCCAAGAAACAGGTATTTCTCTTGATTTCTGATGACAGGAATTACATAACCATGACTCTTATGATGTTGTCAGACAGGAAGACTAAGGTCGAATGTGCGGACCAACTTCAGCAGCCACTGGGCTAAAGCTCAGGGTGACTTCCTAGGTCCGTTCTTTTCCTTTGGCTTGGTTATTTTTATCTGAATTTTACCACTTTTTGTCCTATTTTGAGGCAAAACTAAATCCAAAAATCATTTTGGCTCTCTGGGAAATGTAAGAACTACTGATGTGCTCAAGTTGGTAAATTCGGGCTCTTTCAGGCTCCTTCTGGCCATACACTCGATATGGGGAATTCATATGGAGATTCCCTGCCACCGTTTCTAAGTCTTGACACCAACTTCTGAAGCATGACTTTGGGCCACAAAACAATGATCTATAGAAGTTGAATCTCCAAGTTAGCCAAGTTACATTAATCACTTACCTCAAAAGGTCAAAACTGAGCACGACATTTTAGGTATTTATAGCAAGAAAGATGAGTAAGGTCCACGACTTACTAATCTTAAAGGTATGACAACTCTGTGAGCATTATTTTATTGCTACTACCAAGAATTCCTTTATATTTTAATAGTTCTGCAAGACTAAAACTACAAAGCAAAAATCTCACATGCAAATGTGGAAATGAAAAATACTTTCACCCACTGGTTTCACTCTTGACACAACCAGACCTGAGGGGACCTGAGGTGAACCCATTGGGGGAGGGCATGAGTTAAGGGTGTCAATAATTGAGGGAGGGGAGCTGTAGTATCGACAACGCTGATTTTGGCTTGTGTTTTAGGTAGAAAAGCAAGTTCTAAAATAAAGAGCTACAAAGCTTGATATGACGTGTATTTCAAAAAGAATTCACACAAGCAAAGAGGATTTTTCCAGTCCACAACCACTTCTGGTCGCTTCAGCAGCAAAAGGAAGGAACTAACAGTAGGAGATGGACTGTAGCAAACTAAAGAAGGCACCCCCACAAGGTTGTCAAGGAAACCAAACCAAGTGCATTTTTCTATAGAAAAGAATCAAGGGTAAGGTGAACATGCCATGTTACATTTTGTGGCAAAAATGATTAAAATCCCTTCTTGAAAAAAATCGCTAAGAGACCAAATTTACTTCCAGGCTATTTTACTAAGCACTACACCCATAACGCAGGCAGGCAAGCTTGTATTCCCAAACTACCAGCTACATGGATTCAGCAATCACCTTACTACAACCAGCTAACTTGGGTCACCGATACTTCAGGGCATTTCCTAAGATCTCTTTTTAATAGCTTAACGGCAACGAAAGAAGTGGTCACACTCAAAAAGTTAAAAACAAAAACCTCTACCACAATTCCACAAACATGCTCTCCCAAATTTAGGGTATTTTTCAAAATGGAGTCTTTTTAAACACATCATTTTTCAGCGAAAAGGCAAATCTATGCAAACCAAAGGGACAGCTTGGCCTGAGTGTGCCATTTCATACTGGAAAAGCGCAGGGAGGGCAGTAAAAATGGTATCAAGTTGGGAGATCGATGCTATTCTCTCCACAAGTAGGTGGTAAAGAATCCTCAGCCAGGAGGAATGACACGCACACGCGGGGACAGAACGAGGGCCAGTGCTGAGAACGCTGGAAGGCAGGGACACCGTTCACTAGGAGATGAGTGACGTTAAAGGATCTGCAGTGATGATCTGTGCCTCACGCTGGCGAATATTCCTAGGAGGGGAGATCCCGCGCTCCCGGTGTCCCTCAGGGTGTCCACCCCGGCGACGGCCGGAGCCGGGCTGCGGGTCCAGGGGCCCGGCCACGTGGGCGGGGGAGGCGAGGAGCGCCGGGCTCGCTCAGAGTGGGCACCGCGTCCCTACCCTCCGTGCTTTTCCTCTTGTGGCCCTTCCCGGCAGGGAAGAGGGGGTTTTACGACGTCAAGGCAAGGCTTGGAGGGAAGCGGCGGCCGGCGCCCCACCTGCCCAGGTGATCGCGGGGCTCAAGCCCGGGGCGACGGACGCAGCTCGACCTCCAGGCGAGGTGGACGCCAGGGGCCGGGAGCGGGGCCGCGGAGGAGCGGGGGTGGGCGCCGAGCTGCTCTTACCCGGTGCCACAGTCCACCACGCAGGGAGGCAGGGAGCCTGCCATGCTCGGGACGCGCGGCGCTCGGCCCCGCCGGCAGCCCGAGAGCGCCCCGTCGCCGTCCGCTCCGCCGCCCGCTAGCCCCGCGCGCAGCGTCTCCCGCGAGCCGCCGCAGCGCCGCTGCCGGGAGCCCGGATGCTCGGCGGCCGACACGTGACGTCACTCCCCGGTCGGCCAATCAGAACGCGCGCACGCCCCGCCTCCCCCAACACCCCCACCCCCACTCCGGCGCGCCATCTTTAGTGCTGGCAGCGAGGCTTCTTGGCCCCATACGTCCAACCTTGCTGCTGGAGAGATTGGGGTTTATTTTTAACTGACTTACATGAACGTGACCCCATTTCCGAGGCCTGGCGCCTTTCTCCTCCTGTAAGTCTTCGCTCGAATGTCACCTTGCGAGGGAAGTTGTTCCTGATCACCCTGACTATGTCCCCTACCGGTACTGTATCCTCTGTCTCAACAATCTGTTGGTTTCATTCCTAACCCTTAAAGCAAAGTGTTTATATTTTTATATTTATGTATTTGTTGTCTGCCTCCCCTACTGGACTATCAAATCTTCTAGGATAGGGCTTGAGTCTGTCTTAATCACTATTGATGAGCAGCAGGTGCTTAGCACAGTATTTGGTGTACCTGTGGAAGTGCCCAAATGTTTGTTGAATGACTGAGTAACCTTCCCCATATAATAAAAAAAAAAAAAAAAATTAGTTGGAATTGGCCGGGCGCGGTGGCTCACGCCTGTAATCCCAGCACTTTGGGAGGCTGAGGGTGGATCACAAGGTCAGGAGTTCCAGACCAGCCTGGCCAACATGGTGAAACCCCTTCTCTACTGAAAATACAAAAATTAGCCGGGCGTGGTGGCGGGTGCCTGTAATCCCAGCTGCTCCGGAGGCTGAGGCAGGAGAATCGCTTGAACCTGGGAGGCGGAGGTTGCAGTGAGCCAAGATCGCGCCATTGCACTCCAGCCTGGACAACAGGGCGAGAGTCTGTCTCAAAAAAACAACAAAAAAAATTAGTTGGAATTATTATACCTAACACGGCCTAAATTTTTCTAAGAAGAAAAATCTGCAAAACAAATGCTTGGCCAGCCTTAAGGAATGAATGGCCTTAGACTGAGTAAACCACACCAAGATCACTCCTGGAAAATGTTTTCAAGTGTCGAAGATGGGATGATCGCCCAAAAGTTCTTACTGAAACCAAAGAAGGCAAACACCACCTACTATATTATAAAGGTACTGAGAGTCCCACTTGCCACTTGCTTCCTGCTTCTTGCCCGATCGTAAATTCTTGATACTAATTTTTTAGGAGCTTTCTGGAAACATGTATTTTTTTGTTTTGTTTTGTTTTTTGAGATGAGTCTCACTCTGTCGCCCAGGCTGGAGTGCAGTGGCGCAATCTCGGCTCACTGCAACTCCGCCTCCCAGGTTCAAGCAATTCTCCTGCCTCAGCCTCCCAAGTAGCTGGGATTACAGGCACCCACTACCATGCCCGGTTAATTTTTTGTATTTTTAGTAGAGACAGGGTTTCATCATGCTGGCCAGACTGGTCTTGAGCTCCTGACCTCGTGATCTGCCTGCCTCAGCCTCCCAAAGTACTGGGATTACAGGCATGAGCCACCACGCCCAGCCAAGACATGTTGTTTTTACAGGTACTTAAAACATTGTGTTTTTTACCTAGAAGTAATAGATACGTTGACCACTCCTAGGTAACCCATCATCATTTCTTTTTTTTAACTCATAAGTACCCATTAAGGCCCAGACCTAGAGAATGTTCAGGAGAACTGAAGAGAGAAGCAAATGGGAGGAAAATAAAAAGGAGTAAGTGTGGAGGAATCCCAGTTTAGAAGCCCAAGGCTGGGGTTAAAGATTGGCTGGCTTGCTTTGTGTTTTGCCAAAGCCCTGCCTTGGTCCCTTTTCTTTTTCTTTTCTTATTGCTTGTTTCTTAGAGACAGGGTCTCACTATGTTGCCCAGGCTGGAGGGCAGCGACTATTCACAGGCATGGTCCCACTACTGATCTGCATGAGAGTTCTGATCGGCTCCATCTCTGACCTGGGCCAGTTCACCCTTCCTTAGGCAACCTGGTGGTTCCCCGCTCCTGGGAGGGTGCCATATTGATGCCAAACTTAGTGCAGATCCATCATTCTGGGTGGCACAGAACTCCTGGGCTCAAGGGACCCTTCCACCTCAGCCTCCCGAGTATCTGGGACTACAGGCAAGTACAACTGCTCCCAGCCCAGCTCCCATTTTTTTCACGGCCCTAGCCTAAACATAGATTAATTCTAAATTACAGACTGTTGACACTGCCATGTCTTTTATTTTATTCACTTAACAAACATATATCAAGCGCCTACTGTGAGTCAGGCTTTGTGTTAGACTGAGCATGCAGCAGTAAACAGGATGTTCAGAGTATCTGCCCACAAGAGTCCAGTGGGAGATAGCAACAGTAAACAGGCAATTACAATACAGTGTAGTCAATGCTAAGACAGGGCAAGTCCAGGGTGCCCAGAAAGCCATAGAGGGGCTGACTTGGGAATCAGTAGAAACTTCTCAAAGCAATGATATTGAAGCTGAAACCCAGAAGGTGGGCAGAGTAGCTAGGTGGAGGAGACTGTAGGGTGGAAGAGTGTTTCTGGGATGGAAAACATGCACAAAGCCCAGGAAGAAAGACCTCAAGGCTTGTATAGGACCCAGCTACTACACCAGGGAAGAAGTCTTTACAGGAATTTGGGACTGGCTAGTAATAAAGGGTGTGCGATTTCAGGGAGCATCTTCTCTGCATAGGACTCATTGGGATTGATGGCCATGGTCAGCAGCTGGTAGAAAACAAAAGATTTCCTGACCTCAGTGATTTCCTCTAGATACCACTAACCCTTGATATATCAAAGGTGTTTTGTAGGCAGATAACAGAAAACCTAACTAAAAGTGGCACAAGGAAAGAGCAAATTTGTTATCTCGCACAATAGGAAATCCAGTGACTCCAGGATAATTTGACCATTCGATGGCATCATCATGGGCCTGTACGTTCAGCTCTGCCAGGGCCCTGCGTGTTGTCGTTTGTCCTCAGCTTATCCCATGCAGTGTTGAGACGGCTGCAGCCCCTCCATGCACCAAAATCATGATGGACAAAAACAGTGGAAGAAATGCCCCATCCTGATGCCCTTTCTCAAAGGCAGTGGGAGGAAATGTTTCCGGAAGTTCCCAGCTGCTTCTCTTCTTGTGTCATTAATCAGCTCTTTTTCTATTCTTTTTCTGGGGTGGCCATGACAAAGTAGAACAAACTGGGTGGCTTCAACAAGAGATATTTATGCTCTCACAGTTCTGGAGGCCAGAAGGCCAAATGCAGGTGTCAGCAAAGCCATGTTCTCTCGAAGACTCTAGGGGAGGATCTGTTCCATACCCAGCTTCTGATGGCTGCTGGCAACCCTTGGCATTCCTTGGCTTGTAGGTGCATCACTCCAATCTCTGCCTCCATCATCACGTAGCATTCTCCCTGTGTCTGCATCTTCACATGGCATTCTCCTTATAAGGACGCCAGTCATATTGGATTAGTGCCCACCCTAATGACCTCATCTCAACTTAATTACATTTGCAAATATCCCGTTTCCAAATATCACATTCACCAGAGCCAAAGGTTAGGATTTCAGCATGTTTCTGTAGAGACACAGTTCAATCCATAATTCCAACCTGTGCCAAAAGCAGTCACTGGATGGTTTATTCATATTCATACATACATAGCATTGCCAGCATCGAATGGTGTTTATTCCAAGTTCATTTGAGAGTGGTGCTGGGATGAGGCAAGACTCAGAATAGTAATTATGAAATAGTCACACCTGATATACTGAACTGACTTAGATTATTGAAGAAGACCCCCTTGGGCTGGAGAGGGGCCTCATCTCCTCTGAAATATATGGCTGCTAATACCTGACTGAAATTGGGTTTGATCAACAAGAAGAGGAATGGCCATTGTGTGAAGACACAGCACTGTCTTGTGAGAACACAAGAAGGTGGCTGTCTGCGAGCCAAGAGGAGAAGCCTCACCAGAACCCAACTCTGCTGGCACCCCGATCTCAGACTTCTAGCCTCCAGAACTGAAAAAAATAAATTTCTGTTGTTTAAGCCACCCCGTCAATGGTATTTTGTCATGTCAGCCTGAACAGTCTAAGACAATTCTCTGTGTATTCTTCTGTGTTATTCTTCTTAGACTGTTAACTCCTATACATCAGAAACTGATTGCATCCATTTTGACAGTGCCTAGGGCAAAACACCCACAGAGGTATAAACCTCATACTCTATAAGAAGCACTTCGTGGGGCGTGGTGGCTCACACCTGTAATCTCAGCACTTTGGGAGGCCGAGGCGGGTGGATCACCTAAGGTCGGGAGATCAAGACCATCCTGGCTAACATGGCGAAACCCCGTCTCTACTAAAAATACAAAATTAGCCGAGCATGGTGGCACATGCCACCAGCTACTCAGGAGGCCAAGGCAGGAGAATCACTTGAACTCGGCAGGCGGAGGTTGCAGTGAGCTGAGATCGCGCCATTGCACTCCAGCCTCGGCAACAAGAGCAAAACTCCGTCTCAAAAAAATAAAGCACTTCAAGTACTATCTTTATTAATTATATTGCCAAGGAGGTTTGCCCTCTTCAATATACTTTACAAAATTCCTGCTACTAAATGCATATTAACCTAGGAATCTTTTCTCTGAGTAGCTCAGCCTGCTTTCTGATTTATGCCTTAAATTCAACTTGTCATGAGAGAAGCGTTTTAGTTGGCTTTTGTCAGCAGGAAGAAGCATCTCTTTATTGTACTTCTACCCAACAATGGCATCCTACTCCACCTGCTGCCAACAGTCAGAAACATGGAAACCCGAACACCTCCCATATACAATTCCGCATCTCCTCTAGCAGACGATGTGACCGTTTCACAACTACTATCCCAAGTACTGCCTCGTATCAGCACCACTCTCAAATGAACTTGTAATAAACACCATTCAATTCTGGCAATGCCGTGTATTTATGCATATGAAGACAGCTTAAGAACAAAATAATCAGGGCTCAGAGATTATCTATCTAATGGGATTTAGTGCATGAGTCCCCGGACAATGTGATCTTAATGTCCTGCATGTAACTAGTTGTGCTGGGCCAAGATGGAAAAAGAACCCAAAAACTAACCGCTGTCTTCCAAAACTGCCCACCCAGCAGCTCTGCGAATCTTAAATCTCAGAGCTGTAGGCAAGAGCAAGCTGTGTGTTCCCTGTTGCCATGAGGATGCAAACGAGAAAGGAGTACCAAAAAAATTAGAAACCCGTTCCTTTGAAAGTAGCTGGCATTCTCCTTTAAGAGGAAGGGTCTGTCACTGGACTCAATGGGCCTCGCTGATGTCTTGGCAACAGCAGGAGAAAATGGTCCAAGCAAGAGTTGATTGGCCGGAGTGTGTTGAGTGTGTTCAGAGAGTTAATAACAGACCCCAAACCACAAGTCTTAAGAAAATTACCGAGAGGACGGAACATATTCAGACCAACTCTGCTATGTTTTTTTCTCTGCCGAGGGCAATTACTCAGACTGTGACCCTCCACGCCCCCTTCTCTTCTTGCTTCCCTCCTATACCACTCAGCTGCCAAGGCCTGGTCATTCAACCCCACCGCTTCCCTTGTGTCTCTGTCCCCTGCTTTTCATTCCAACTGTCGCTCTTGCTCAACTGCTCAATAGCCTCCCACTAGTCACCCTGTCTCCAGGCTTTTGTCTCTACAAGAAATCTTTCAGGAAAATTATACTGCTATGAGGGACATCAGGACAGAATTCCAGAATGTATGTATTATGTCAGTCTTCTTTCCCTACAACCATCAGTGGTGTGTTATTCTTATGGAATTTGGTCCAAACCTTTATTATGGCATTCAAGGTTCTCTAAGATCAGATTCTAAATTACCTTTGCAATCTCATCTCACATTATGCCCCTTGGTACATCAGGACATACCAGACCACACACTGTTCTTCAAACCCTCTGTATTGTCAGGTGTTTGTGCAGGCCTCTGAATCTAGAACATTCCTCAGCTACCTCATTCTCATCATCCTTCAAAACTCTTTTCAAAGCTTCACCCATCCTTCCAATTTCAATTCACATCTGCTTCATTTATTCAACAAAATATGCTGAGTGCTTCCATGTGCCTCTCATCAGAATCAATCACTGATTCTATGCCCACTACTCAGAATCCAGAGATGAAATCTGGGGAGCTGCACTTTAATAAGTTCATCCACACTACCAGACAATATTTAGGGTTTGAGAGATAAACATAAAATTCTAAGCCCCACAACTGACTGAACAGACTCCCTCTTGGCCAAGGGGACCCCAGAGAAACTTTGAAAGCTGAGTTCCTAGCCATAATGGGATGTGATATGGTTTGGCCCTGTGTCCCCACCCGAATCTCATTTTGAACTGTGCTCCCATAATTCTCAGGTGTTGTGGGAGGGACCCGGTGGGAGATAATTGAATCATGGAGACAGTTTCCCCCACACTGTTCTCATGGTAGTGAATAGGTCTCACGAGATCTGATGGTTTTATAAGGAGAAACCCCTTTCTCTTGGCTCTCATTCTCTCTTGCCGCTGCCATGTAAGAAGTGCTTTTCACCTTCTGTCATGACTGTGAGGCCTCCCCAGCCATGTGGAACTGTGAGTCCATTAAATCTATTTATCAGCTGCACACAGTGTCTCACGCCTGTAATCCCAGCACTTTGGGAGGCCAAAGCAGGTAGATCACCTGAGGTCAGGAGTTCAAGACCAGCCTGGCCAACAGGGCGAAACCCTATCTCTACTAAAAATACAAAAATTAGCCAGGCATGGTGGCGGGTACCTGTAATCCCAGCCACTTGGGAGGCTGAGGTGGGAGGATCGCTTGAACCCGGGAGGCAGAGGTTGCAATGAGCTGAGATCACACTACTTCACTCCAGCCTGGGTGAAAGAGCAAAACTCCATCTCAAAATAAATAAATAAATACATACATACGTACATACATATCTATTTATCTTCCCAGTCTCAGGTATGTATTTATCCGCAGCATAAAAACTGACTAATATAGGGTGAAAGGCTGGACTTGGCTGGTTACACCCCCTCCCTTTCTAACTGCCTTTTGACTTTCTTCCCTAAAGGTAAACAGAAACCAGGCCTTTAAAAGATGCCACCACTGAGTTCAACCAAAGGCTAGACTGCCACCCTTCCCTTTTTACAGTTTGTACACAACTGAACAGCATTCCTTCCTGATGAGAGACCACCAACCACAGAGTGGTTTTGGCCAGTCTACACAAGGTGCACAGTGAGGGTTTTCCAGTCCTCTGCTTCACCTTTTGACATCAGAGTCCTGAAAATTCCACCCTGAGATCATGCTTTTAATGCCACCATTTTTTAAACATGGGACCCAGGGAGAAGCATGAAGCTCAATTGCACATGCACATGTTTCCCGTCTCATAAATATTCATGGCTCCACCTATAGCTTATTGAATATGTATATTCTGCCACTCCATTCAGCGTAAATCCCTGTCTCTTCTTCCAACTTTCAAACTGCCTATTTCCAGCTTCTGGCCAGAGGCTACACTTCCCAGCCTGTCAGAATGGGCCCCCTCCAGGCTGCAGCCCTTTTTGAGAAGTAAAGCTCTCCTTTCCAAATGTATGAACCTCATCATTCTTCAGTTGACAGTTTGTAACAATTTCCTATTCAATTCTTATGGAGAACTGAGTTACAATAATATCTTCATTTCCAAAGCATTTTCAGCACACCATTACATTTAATCTTCCTAACATTCCCACGAGGTAGATATTATAAATACCTCCCTTAATCAAATAAGAAAACTGAGGCTCATACTTTGAAAATTAGCCTAGATTAAAATTTAATTTTGTTCTGAGCACCTTCTTTAGGCTCTCTTGACAAAACAGGAACCGCGAAAGCATTGCAAAACCAGCATCTGGTAAGCAGAGGTAGAAATAGATGGTAGAGCCAGAAGGAATCTCAGTCATCAGTCCTTCAGACTAACCCAGTCCTTTTATCATTTTACATACACTTTTCTACTTTTGAGCTCTTTACCTTGAATGTTGTCTATTTTCAGTAACAAATGCCCATGAACTCCCATCAGGCAATCACTGTATGTCCTAGAGACTGAGTGGTATCCAACAAAAATTAAACTATTTTGCCAATAGGGAGTGAAACTGCTGAGTAGCATAAATGGGACTCCAGGCAATCTGGACACAGCATACTGCCAAAAACTAGGTCCAAATGTTTCTTGCCATTGTGCAATCTCACAAGCAACAGGTTTTGGAGGAGCTGGCTTTCCAAGGGTCTCTCCTCTCCTTATTGATGTTCATTCTAGAACATTATCAGAAGCAGGACAGCAGGAATTCTCATGTAATTATAGTAGAATGAATGAAGCAAGTCTGTGTCATTACAAAATTATCTTCACCAGATATTAACTTGGTCCATTCAAGCAGAAGTTGTGCTGGGAAACTAGGAGGTCACAGTGAATTGGGGGGAGCAACAGAGCAGGCACAGATGCAGGGAGGTAAATGGGAACCCACACTTGCTGCCTTAGACTGTTTCATTCAGCAGAACCTCTAGTTGCAACAATGTGTATCTGAAAACTGGGTGCAAAGTTACACTATGTTTCTGAGAAAAGACCTTTTATTAGAGGAATACCAGTCCTTTTAAACTACCAGGCCCAGAGAGGCACTGAAATGAAACAGTGATTGTGCCCTACTCTCCCCTTTCCGAGCTATATATTCATGTCTTGAAACAGCTTACTATTGCCACAAGTAGCTATAAATTAACCTAATAATGCCACACTGGACACTGTAACCCACAACCTACAGCTTAACAATGTAGAGCCCATCAATAGTTTATTTGATGTTAATATAAATTGTTGTTGGTAACAACTCAGGAATTGCCTTTTTTTTTTTTTTTTTTTTGACACTGAGTCTCATTCTGTTGCCCAGGCTGGAGTGCAGTGGTGTGATCTTGGCTCACTGCAAACTCCGCCTCCCGGGTTCAAACAATTCTCTTGCCTCAGTCTCCTGAGTAGCTGGCACTACAGGTGCCCAACACCACGCCTGGCTAATTTTTGTTTTTTTTTGTTTTTTTTTTTTTAGTAGAGATGGGGTTTTACCATGTTGGTCAGCCTGGTCTCGAACTCCTGACCTTGTGGTCTGCCCACCTCGGACTCCCAAAGTGCTGGGATTACAGGCGTGAGCCACTGTACCCGGCCAGGAATTGCTTCTTTTTTCCCTTTAAAAATCCACTTGTGGCCCGGCGCGTTGGCTCACACCTGTAATCCCAGCACTTTGGGAGGCTGAGGTGGGCAGATTGCTGAGGTTAGGAGTTCGAGGCCAGCCAGACCAACACGGAGAAACCCCGTCCTACTAAAATAACAAAATTAGCTGGGCGTGGTGGCACATGCCTGTAATCCCAGCTACTTGGGAGGCTAAGGCAAGAAAATCACTTAAACCCAGAAGGCGGAGGTTCCGGTGAGCCAAGATCATGCCATTGCACTCCAGCCTGGGCAACAAGAGCAAAACTCCGTCTCAAAAAAAAAAAAGTCACTTGTAACTGCTGCTAACCTGAGTGCAGATTCAGGGCAACTGAAATCTACGCTGTCGGGTTGCAATCCTCAAACTTGGCCCAAAAAAACTCTCTATTTAGATTAATTTTGCCTCAGCTTCTTCCTTTTAGGTCAACATTTCCATGTCTTACCCCTCTATTTTGTGTACTTGCCTTACACGAAAAAGTGCAAAGTGAATTCTCTGCAAGAGTAACTTGCAGAACAACAGATGGCCACTGAGTTCCTGATATCTGGAGCTGATAGTTAAGGTAAAAATGATACTGTATTTTTTTTCATTCAATTGTCACTTCATTAAAGATGGTAGAATTAATTACAAATTTAAACTGTAACCTGGTAATCTTTAGTCAGGCAGCAGGTTTTAATGAAGGCAAACTGCTTATTCAGAAGTGATCATGGAACTCAAATGCAGAGTAAGAAGGATGAGAAACATCTGACTGGCCAATAGATTTTGTGCTTTCACTCTATGAAATAAACTTTTCACTTTTAGGAGAGGTAAATTATAACTTCAGTAGACACAAACAGTCAACTGTTTCCAGCTGTCTCAATTGGGATAGATACATTTACATAGCTGGCTGTGCTTGAGCCTTCTTTGCCAGAAGCTTTAGGTCTTCAATGCACTTGGCAATTGTCTCCTTTTCCTGCTGTGCAGAGATGCTCTGCACCACGTACTTCTCCACCCAATTGATCATGTGCTCTTGTTCCTTTCAATGCATCATGTTCTGCACAGATATATGATAGTCCAGGCGATTCTTTACTTCCTTACATACTTTATACAGTAGTTCCTGGTAAGTAACCTCCAAAGCCATAGCAATGTTATTCCTCTGCACATCAAAAAGGTAATGGCGCTTCTGAACTAGTGCCTGCTGTGACTTCTCCAAATCAATTCCATCCCGGATTTGTTTGATGGGAGCCTGCTTCGCCTCTTCTAGTTGGGCAAGTTTTTGCTCATTGAGTTTACCAGCAAATTCTGCAACAGAGGCACCATATTTTTTAATTGCATAGACAGGTAACCCTACTACTGATATGGTCGAGAAGGTCTCTGCAATAATCACATATATTTCTTTGGATAAAGCATACAAGATAAGCCCAGTTCCGAGCACACAGGGTCCTGTTACACCGGCTTTAAGATAAAGAAACCTGAGGAATTCCTCAAGGATCAGTCCAAGACGAACTTTTCCTCCATTTTCAGGAAAAGGTGGTAGAGGGGCAAGGTGTGGCTGCCTGGGTGAAAGGTCCTTGTTGCCCACAATACCCCTGGACCTAGGAAGGCTGCATTCTTCAGAGAGGGGGCCACTGTGGCAGTGGCAGAAAGTTCCACCCGGGACAGCGTGGTCATCGAAGGTCCAGGCAGCAGTCTTAGCATCCCTGTGACCCCGACCGGAGACTCTGTCAGGGGCAGGAGCAAGATGGCCACTCACCAATACTGTATTCTTAATCCAAACTTTTTTTTTTTTTTGAGACAGAGCCTTGCTCTGTCGCCCAGGCTGGAGTGCAGTGGCGCGATCTCTGCTCACTGCAACCTCCGCCTCCTGAGTTCAAACAATTCTCCTGCCTCAGCCTCCCGAGTAGCTGGCACTACAGGTGCCCACCACCATGCTCAGCTAATTTTTGTATTTTTAGTAGAGATGGGGTTTCACCATGTTGGCCAAGCTGGTCTCAAACCCCTGACCTCAAGTGATCTGCCTGCCTCGGCCTCCCAAAGTGCTGGGATTACAGGCATGCGCCACTGCACCTGGCCCAAACATTTTTTTTTTTTTTGAGATGGAGTCTCACTCTGTTGCCCAGACTGGAGTGCAGTGGCACAATCTCCACTCACTGCAGCCTCCGCTTCCTGGATTCAAGTGATTCTCCTGCCTCAGTCTCCCGAGTAGCTGGGACTACAGGCGTGTACCACTGCACCCAGCTAATTTTTGTATATTTTTTTTTTTTAGAGATGGGGTTTTACCACGTTGGCCAGGCTGGTCTCGAACTCCTGACCTCATGATCCACCCGCCTTGGCCTCCCAAAGTGCTGGGAGTACAGGCGTGAGCCACTGTGTCCGGCCCCCAACATTTTTAATTATATTAATTTATACCAAGAAAAATGCATAAAATTAACTGTACTTGTTTTTTGCAGAATAAAAAGAGCCCACATTTTGAAATCTCAAAGACCTGCATTCAAAGCCCATTTTAGAAATGAGGCCAGGCGCAGTGGCTCACACCTGTAATCCCAGAACTTTGGGAGGCTGAGGAGGGCGGATCACCTGAGGTCAGGAGTTCAAGATCAGCCTGACCAATGTGGTAAAACCCCGTCTCTACTAAAAATACAAAAATTAGCCGCATGGTAGCGCATGCCTGTAATCTCAGCTACTTGCAAGGCTGAGGCAGGAGAATCGCTTGAACCTGGGAGGTGGAGGTTGCAGTGAGCCGAGATTGTGCCATTCCACTCCAGCCTGGGCAACAAGAGTAAAACTCCATCTCAAAAGAAAAAAAAGAAATGTATGTTTTTGTATGAGTAATTTAATATCTCTGAGCTTTAGTTTCCTTGTCTGTAAGAAAGGCTTTTTCTGAGTTGTAAAGTTAGTGTATAAAAATACCAAGGACTGGGCATGGTGGCTCATGCCTATAATCCCAGCCGTTTTGGAGGCTGAGGTGGGAGGATAGCTTGAGCCCAGGCATTTGAGACCAGCCTGGGCAACATGGCAATACCCCACTTCTACCAAAAAAAAAAAAAAAAAAAATTAGTTAGCCAGATACGGTGGTGTACCTGTAGTCCCAGCTGCTCAGGAAGCTGAGGCAGAAAGATCACATGAGCCCAGGAGTTCAAGGCTACAGTGAGCTATGTTCAAGCCCCTGCACTCCAGCCTGGGCAGCAGAGTGAGTCCTTGTCTCAAAAATGAATCAATAAAGTTTTTAAAAATAAAAATGCTAAGTAGTGTCACATGGCAAGTGTCCATATCATTACTGCCCTCATCCTCAGCAGCTGCCTTCTTCTAACTCAAAGGCGGGCCAATCTTTTGGCTTACCTGGGCCACACTGGAAGATGAAGAATTGTCTTGGACCACATGTGAAATACACTAACACTAATGGTAGCTGATGAGCAAAAAAAAAAAAAAAAAAAAAAAATCACAAAAAGAACTCATAATGTTTTAAGAAAGTTTACGATTTTGCATTGGGCTGCATTAAAGCCATCCTGGGCTGCATTTGGCCCGCAGGCCATGGGCCAAGCTTGTTCTCATTCGTGATTCTCTCAGCTTTAGATTTGTGTGGACAAAATCACACAGCTGTTTTTGGTTATCTGGATTATAACTAAGGTATAAAAAAAGATTGAAAGACACCTATCCTCAATATTACTAAGATTTGAGACATCTTTTTATTAATAGAAATGAACTATGTTGAATTTTTCATGTCCTCATACCTGCTCTCCCTTGTGTCCAAAGACACTTAATGGTCATGGTGCCAGAACTTCTGTAATTCAGAGCCAAATAGTCCATGTTGGTCAAAGATACAGGCTTTGAGGCCAAACTGCCTGATTTAAATCTCAGCTCTGGCTTGATGCATTTGTTACTTTAGGCAAGGTACTTAACCTCTCTGTGACTCAGTTTCCATCTTGTCAAAATGTAGGAAGTGACTTCACAGGGCTGATGTGAAGAATAAAGATGCAGTTTATTACCTTATTACCTTACAATTACCTTATTACCTTACAAGTTCGAGACCATCCTGGGCAACATGGCAAAACCCTGTCTCTACAAAAAAATTAAAAAATTAGTCAGGCATGGTGGCACGCACCTATAGTCCAAACTACTTGGGGGACTGAGGCAGGAGGATCACTTGAGCCCAGAGGTCAAGGCTGCAGTGAGCCAAGATCACGCTACTGCACTGCAGTCCGAGTGACAGAGTGAGACCCCATGTCTTAAAAAACAAAGAAAAAGAAAAATTACCACTGGAAAATGTTCCAGCCCCCTCTTCAGTGTTTGCTTGGAAGATGCTGTATTAATCTGTTCTCATACTGCTATGAAGAAATATCTGAGACTGAGTAATTTATAAAGAAAAGAGTTTTAATGGACTCACAGTTCTCCATTGCTGGGGAGGCCTCAGGAAGCTTACAATCATGGCAAAGATGAAGGAGAAGCAAAGATACGTCTTACTTGGTGGCAGGTGGGAGAGCCTGTGTTCGAGTGCAGGGGAAACTGCCCTTTATAAACCATCAAATCTCATGAGACTCACTCACTATCACAAGAACAGCATGGGGAAAACCACCCCGGTGATTCAATCATCTCCATCTGGTCTCTCCCTTGACGTGTGGAGATTACGGGGATTACAGTTCCAGGTGAGATTTGGGTGGGAACACAGAGCCAAACCATATCAGATGCCATGGTGACTGGGAGTGTTTTCAGTGACTTTAAGGGCCTGACCAATGCTTCTTTGAGTAAGACTGCTTTGAAGGTGCTCACCAGGAAGCCCACAGCTTTGTGCCTAATGCAAGGGCAAAGCCATACAGCCCAACCAGACATGGTGGTATGCACCTGTAGTTCCAGTTACTCAGGAGGCTGAGGCCATAGGATCAATTGAACCCAAGAGTTGGAGAACAGCTAGGCAACCTAGCAAGATCCCACCCTCCCCCCAAACAACAAAAAACAAAAACAAGCATACAGCTTGACATGGGCACTACTTGCTTTTAAATTGAGCTTATCTTTTTTTTTTTCTTTTTGACACAGGATCTTGCTCTGTTGCCCAGGCTGGAGTGCAGTGGGACAATCACAACTCACAGTAGCCTCACACTCCTGGGTGCAAGGGATCCTCCCACCTCAGCCTCTCAAGTAGCTGAGTGAGCGCTCACACTGCTCCTGCCTGCAGACCCTCTCCAATGCCCCTTTCACCATCTCTTTCTCAGCCTACCTGCCCAAGACTCACCGTCAGCCACCCAGCCTCCTTCCTCCTGGCAGCAGCTATCCTTTCTCTCTCATGAGTTAACTCTTCCCTCTTTCCAAAAAGATCCATCCAGCTCTAGAGTTTCTGCCCATCTCTCCCATTCTGGTCTGCAGGTCTCATTCCTGAGAAGGACAGAGGCATTTAGAATAGTAACTCAAACATTTCAGCCAAAATACTCCCCAAAGCTCCTTATTGAGCAAGAAAGAGATTACTAATAATTTCCCCATCCCCTAATTCCTATATAAAGATGAATACTGGCCGGGCGTGGTGGTTCACGCCTGTAATCCCAGCACTTTGGGAGACCAAGGTGGGTGGATCACAAGGTCAGGAGTTTGAGACCAGGCTGGCCAATATGGTGAAACCCCATCTCTACTAAAAATACAAAAAAACTAGCCAAGTGTGGTGACATGCGCCTGTAGTCCCAGCTACTCCATTGCTGAGGCAATGGAGGCTGAGGCAGGAGAATCACTTGAACCCAGGAGGTGGAGATTACAGTGAGCCGAGATTGCGCCACTGCACTCCAGCCTGGGCAATAGAGGGAGACTCCAACTCAAAAAAAAAAAAAGAATGCTTATGCCATCATGCTGCACATTTCTCTACCACGCTGGAACTGGTCTAAGTGTAGTTTCCCACTTTTGAAGTGGCTGAATCTTAATTTTCACAAAGCTGGATTCTGGTTCCCATGGACCCACCCACTGCAGGAGCTGGTAGCCCACAGTTTAGTAAACAAGATCCCCCTCGCTTTGGTGTGAATGTTGATATGGTTTGAATGATGACGTGGCATCCCCTCCAAAATTCATGTTGAAACTTCATCCCCAGTGCAGTGGTGTTGAGAGGTATGGCGTTTGGGAGGTGATTAAGTGAGGAGGGCTCTCCCCACATAAGTGGAATTAGCACCCTTACAAAAGGGCTCACTGGCTGGGCGCTGTGGCTCACACCTGTAATCCCAGCACTTTGGGAGGCCAAGGCGAGTGGGTCACCTGCTGTCAGGAGTTTGAGACCAGCCTGACCAACATGGTGAACGCTCATCTCTACTGAAAATACAAAATTAGCCGGGCATGGTGGCACATGCCTGTAATCCCAGCTACTTCAGAGGCTAAGGCAGGAGAATGGCTTGAACCTGGGAGGCAGAGGTTGCAGTGAGCCAAGATTGTGCCATTGCACTCCAGCCTGGGCAACAAGAGTGAAACTCTTGTCTCAAAAATAAAAAGGGCTCACACCTGTAATCCCAGCATTTTGGGAAGCTGAGACGGGAGGATCATTTGAGATCAGGAGTGTGAGACCAGCCTGACAAACATAGCGAAACCCCATCTCTACTAAAAATATTAAAAATTAGCTAGGTGTGGTGGTGAATGCCTGTAATCCCAGCTACTTCAGAGGCTAAGGCAGGAGAATGGCTTGAACCTGGGAGGCGGAGGTTGCAGTGAGCCAAGATCGTGCCACTGCACTCCAGGCTGGGCGACAGAGTGAGACTCCATCTCAAAAACAAAAACAGAAACAAAACACAAACAAAAAAAAAAAAAAGTGGGGGGGCTCAAGGTTGAAGGGAGCATTTTCTTGCCTTCTGCCTTCCACCAGGAGAGGACACTGCATTGGCTCCTCCGGAGGTCACAGCAACGTGGCGCCATCTTGGAAGCAGAGAGCAGCCCTCACCGGACACCAACACCAGGCGCGGTGATCTTGGCCTCCAAAGCTGTAAGAAATAAATTTCTGCTCCTTATAAATAACTCAGTCTCAGGTGTTTTGTTCTAGCAGCGCAAACAGACTAAGGCAGATGTGCATCATCACAGTCCAATATAGAGCTCCGTTCAGAACTCAGTTAACTATCATATTCTTGCTGGCTGGTTTTGGAAACTGCAATCTTTTTTTTTTTTTTTTTCCAAGATGGAGTCTGGCTCTGTCGCACCCGGCCTAGAAAAGGCAATCTTTTAGTCCACTGTCGGCAGAGCTTTCCCCGCTCTTCTCCACACCCTTCCCCATAGGGAACGACTTCCCTTTCCCACACATTCTCCTGACTCAGCTTCGGTGCAGAGAAACCAGGAAATACTGTCCTCTACTATACACAATGACAAAAACCTAGAAGGATGGCAAAAGGTCCCCAGATGGGATTCTGAAAATAATTAAGGGATCAGGACACTTGCTGTATGAAAGCCGACTAGAGACGGATTCTTTTTTTTTTTTTTTTTTTTTTTTTTTTTTTTGAGACCGAGTCTCGCTCTGTCGCCCAGGCTGGAGTGCAGTGGCGCGATCTCGGCTCACTACAAGCTCCGCCTCCCGGGTTCACGCCATTCTCCTGCCTCAGCCTCCCGAGTAGCTGGGACTACAGGCGCCCGCCACCACGCCCGGCTAATTTTTTTGTATATTTTTAGTAGAGACGGGGTTTCACCGTGTTAGCCAGGACGGTCTCGATCTCCTGACCTCGTGATCCGCCCGCCTCGGCCTCCCAAAGTGCTGGGATTACAGGCGTGAGCCACCGCGCCTGGCCGAGACGGATTCTTTAAGAATGAAAACCAAGGGCCTTTCATGGGTGGCTATCGTGAACGTGAGCCGCCGATCACTTTACTGTCAGCTACCTTCTTCCTCCCCTTCTCTTCCTACCGCTACCTCCCACCTTCCCCGCTCCCCTCTGTCCCATCACTGGACAGGAATGTGGTGCCTGACAGGGCTGGCTTTCACAGTCTGTCACCTGTGCAGATGCACAAAGGCCTCATGTTTGGTTTTATTTTGTTTTTTAAATTGTACTGTTAATAATATTGTGTATAGTTATGGGGTACAATGCGATGTTACTATATATGTAGACATTGTGGCTTTATTAAATCAAGCTAATGAACACAGGCATCACCTCACATTCTGACAATTTCTTTGTGATAAGAGCATTTTAAAGCTACAGTTTTAGCCGCTTAGAGAACTAACAATACATTATTATTAACTACAGTTGCCATGTTCTGCGGTAGATCACTAGAACCCCGTGCTTAGTTTAGTCTCCGCATTAGCTGTCCTGAAGTGCTTAACAATCTTTTTAGCAAAGGGCCCTGCATTTTTATTTTGCACTGGATGCTGCCAATTTTGCAGCTGGTACCAGTGCCTGGTCTTATACGGGTGAAAGTGCAGGACAACCACCCTGACCTACTCCCTCGCCAGGAGGGGAGAAATGAAGGCTGGGCTGTAGGGCACAGAGCAGCGAGCCCACCTTGTTCATCCCTGATGAGTCCCCTGCACCCAGCACAGAGCCTGGCACACAGATATGATTCAGTGTCTGCTTGTGAAGGAAAAGGAAGGAGAGATAATGAGGGGTGGGAGGGTTAACACGAGCACTGTTTCAGCTGAAGACCCCCCAGAAGAAACGCACTGTCCTCGCCCCTCTGCCCCCTTTGCTGTGTGAAATGAAGACAGGACTGTGCCTTCTCCCCAGGGACAATACTCCAAAATAAATGAACAGCATACGCTTGACCTTGAGTCCTTCCTCATTGGCACAGAGTGAATTATCCCTTAACAAGTAGACTTCAATGGCCAGTATTTGGGATACTGTGAGCAAAGGCAGCCCCGCACTTAGAGAACAGGCACCCCGTACACGTCCTCCTTCCACGGTCACCCAGCTGGACAGAGAAGCCCTTTTCGCTCCCACCTGCACGGTCACACGGAGCCTCTGCTTCACACGTCCTTCCCTGTGGCCGCCTTTGAGACTGCCTTCCCAGGGGAGGTCCTCCCGGAAGCTTCCGTGCCTCTCCCTGCCCACAGCCACCTTCCTCGGCCCCCCAACCTCCTCTGTGTGAAGGGGCAGTTGCTGCTTCTACTTGCCTGTGACCTCCTTGAGGACAACTGGGACTTCCTTGTCCCTCTTGCCCCAGCACTAACCTTGCTCTCACCTCTCCCATATCCCAAATGACTTTAGTGCTCAAATATCACCATTCTTGTAGGTTTCATTAAGAAACCAGTTTTTGGCCGGGTACAGTGGCTCACACCTGTAATCCCAGCACTTTGGGGGGCCGGGATGGGCAGATCACTTGAGGCCAGGAGTTCAACACCAGCCTGGCCAACATGGCGAAACCCAGTCTCTACTAAAAGTACAAAAATTAGCCAGGCATGGCGGTGCACGCCTGTAGGCCCAGGTACTTGAGAAGCTGAGGCAGAATTGCTTGAGCCCAGGAGTTTGTTGTTGTTGTTGTTGTTTTTGGTTTGTTTTGTTTTTCTTTTTTTTTTTTTTTTGAGATTGAGTCTTGCACTGCTGCCCAGGTTGGAGTGCAGTGGCGCAATCTTGGCTCACCGTCACCTCCACCTCCCGGGTTCACGTGATTCTCCTGCCTCAGCCTCCCGAGTAGCTGGGATTACAGGCGCACACCACCACGCCCAGCTGGTTTTTTGTATTTTTAGTAAAGACAGGGTTTCACTATGTTGGCCAGGCTGATCTCGAACTCCTGACCTTGTGATCTGCCCACCTCGGCCTCCCAAGAGCCCAGGAGTTTGAGATCAGCCTGGACAACACAGTGAGACCCCATGTCTACAAAAAAAAATTAAAATTAGCAGGGTGCAGTGGCAGTGCCTATAGTCCCAGCTACTCAAAAGGCTGAGGTGGGGGGATCACTTGAGCCCAGGAGGTCAAGGCTGCTGTGAGCCATGATGGCACCACTGCACTCCAAGGGCAACAGGGCAAGACACTGTCTCAAAAAAAAGAAAAAGAAAAAAGTGGGAGAAGCAGAACAACACTTGAAAGGCACAGAGGCTGATTTCAGGAAATGGCTGGTGGTTCTGTGAGCTGAAGAAGGCTGTGTTGGATGAGATAAGGTCAGAAAGAAAGGTTTGGGCCAGGAGTGGTGGCTCACACCTGTAATCCCAGCACTTTGGGAGGCCAAGGTGGACAGATCACCTGAGGTCAGGAGTTCGAGACCAGCCTGGCCAACATGGTGAAACCCCATCTCTACTAGAAATACAAAAAGTAGCCAGGCATGGTGGTGGGCACCTGTAATCCCAGCTATTCGGGAGGCTGAGGCAGGAAAATCGCTTGAACCCAGGAGGCAGAGGTTACAGTGAGCTGAGATCGTGCCACTATACTCCAGCCTGGGTGACAGAGTGAGACTCTGAAAAAAAAGAAAAGAAAGAAAGAGAGAGAGAGAGAGAGAGGAAGAAAGAGGAAAGAAAGAAAAGAAAGAAAGAAAGAAAGAGAGAGAGAGAGAGAGAAGGAAGGAAGGAAGGAAGGAAGGAAGGAAGGAAGGAAAGAAAAAAAGAAAGAAAGAAAAGAAAAGAAGAAAAGAAGGAGGGAGGGAGGGAGGGAGGAAAGGTTTTTTTTTTGTTGTTGTTGTTTTTGAGATGGAGTCTCGCTTCTTCGCCCAGGCTAGTGCAAGGGTGCAATCTCGGCTCACTGCAACCTCCGCCTCCTGGGTTCAAGCAATTCTCCTGCCTCAGCCTGCCGAGTAGCTAGGATTACAGGTACGTGCCACCACGCCCGGCTAATTTTTGTATTTTCAGTAGAGACGGGGGTTTCACCATGTTGGCCAGGCTGGTCTCGAACTCCTGACCTCAAGTGATCCACCCACCTCAGCCTCCCAAAGTGCTGGGATTACAGGCGTGAGCCACTGTGCCTGGCCCGAAGGTAGATTTGAAATCACATTGGGAACAAATTGGAAAAAACTTTCAATACTATTCTATGATATTTGTACATTATTCTAAACAATAAATATCAAGGCCAGGCATGGTGGCTCACACCTGTAATACCAACGCTCTGGGAGGCCAAGGGAGAAGGATCACTTGAGCCCAGGAGTTTAAGACTAGCCTGGGCAACACAGGGAAACCCTGTCTCTATAAAAAAATTTTTAAAATCTCCAGCCTGGGCAACACGGTGAAACCCCATCTCTATAAAAATACAAAAATTAGCTGAGCATGGTGGTGTGCGCCTATAATCCCAGCTACTTAAGGGGCTGAGGCAGTAGGATTGGGGGGATCACACCACTGCACTGCAGACTGGGTGACAGAGTGAGACCCCATCTCAAAAAAAGAAAAAATTAGCCAGGTATGGTGGTGCAAGCCTGTATTTCCAACTACTTGGGAGGCTGAGGTGGGAGGATCCATTGCGCTCAGGAGGTCAAGGCTACAGTGAACCGAGATGGGGCCATTGCACTCCAGCCTGGGCGGCAAAGCAAGGCCCTGTCTCAAAGAATTAAAAAAAAAAGTGGCCGGGCACGGTGGCTCATGCCTGTAATCCCAGCACTCTGGGAGGCGGGCAGATCACGAGGTCAGGAGAACGAGACCATCCTGGCCAACATGGTAAAACCCCATCTCTACTAAAAATACAAAAATTAGCTGGGCGTGGTGGCATGCACCTGCAATCCCAGCTACTCGGGAGGCTGAGGCAGGAGAATCGCTTGAACCTGGGAGGTGGAGGTCGCAGTGAGCTGAGATGGTGCTACTGCACTCCAGGCTGGGCAACAGAGTGAGACTCCATCTCAAAAAAAAAAAAAAAAGGAAAAAAAAAAAACAGGGCTGGGCACGGTGGCTCAGGCCTGTAATCCCAGCACTTTGGGAGACCAAGGTGGGTGGATCACCTAAGGTTGGGAGTTCAAGACCAGCCTGACCAACATGGAGAAACCCTGTCTCTACTAAAAAATACAAAATTAGCCGGGCATGGTAGCTCATGCCTGTAATCTCAGCTACTCAGGAGGCTGAGGCAGGAGATGAACCTGGGAGGCAGAGGTTGCAGTGAGCCGAGATTGCGTCATTGCACTCCAGCCTGGACAACAGAGCTAGACTCTGTTTCAAATAAATAAATATCCAAAGATTTTTCAAAAGGGAAATATCTTTTTTTTTTAAAAGACAGAGTCTCACTCTGTCACCCAGGCTGGAGTGCAGTGGCGCAATCTCGGCTCACCGCAACCTCTGCCTCCCAGGTTCAAGCAATTCTCCTGCCTCAGTCTCCCGAGTAGCTGGGATTACAGGTGTGCACCACCACGCCCAGCTAATATTTGTATTTTTAGTAGAGACGGGGTTTCACCATGTTGGTCAGGTTGGTCTCAAACTCCTGACCTCATGATCCGCCCGCCGTGGCCTCCCAAATTGCTGAGATTACAGGCATGAGCCACCGTGCCTGGCTGAGAAATATATGTGTGTGTCTGTGTATGTATCTGCGTTTGTGTGTCTATGTCTGTGTACGTGTTTATGTGTCTGTGTGTATATCTATGTGTGTCTCAGTGTATGTATACACTGTGTGTGTGTTTGTGCATCCGTCTTTATGTGTCTGTTTGTCCAGGTGAGTGTATGTGTGTCTGTGTGCCTGTTTGTATGTGTCCATGTCCATGTGTCTGTCTGTCTGTTTTTGTGTATGTCTCTATGTGCCTGTGTGTCCAATTGGACGTGTGTCTGTGTTTGTCTAGTGTCTGTCTGTATGTGTCTATATGTGTGTGCCTGTGTGTATGTGTCCATGTCCATGTGTGCGTCTGTCTGTGTATGTCTCTATGTGTCTATGTGCCCAGGTGAATGTGTGTGTCTGTGTGCCTGTATGTGTGTGCCTGTGTGTAGTGTATGTGGCCGTGTGTGTGTGTGTGTGAGTGTGAGTGTGTGTGTGTTGCTGGGTGGAAGGAGTGTGGTGGGAGAGACTGGACATGCGGTCGTTCACCAGAGAACTATTGAGGTGGCTCGAATAGAGTATTGTGATGGCAGCTGGGCATGGTGGCTCACACCTGTAATCTCAGCAATTTGGGAGGCTGAGGTGGGCGGATCGCCTCAGGTCAGGAGTTCGAGACCAGCCTGGCCAACATGGTGAAAACCTGTCTTTACTAGAAATATAAAAATTAGCCAGGCATGGTGGTGCACGCCTGTAATCCCAGCTACTCGGGAGGTTGAGGCAGGAAAATCGCTTGATCCCGGGAGGCATAGGTTGCAATGAGCCAAGATCACGCCATTGCACTCCAGCCTGGGCAACACAGTGAGACTCCGTTTCAAAAAAACAAACAAACAAACAAACAAAAAAGAATATTGTGATGGCAACAATAATAGAAAAGACATGTCAGAGGTAGAAATAAAATGTCTCAGGGACCGGTTGGATGTTTTTAAGTAAAGAAGACAAAATAATCATTGTTTGTAGCTTGGATGGCTCTGCGCACGGCGGAGCTATGAGCTGAGATGAATGAAGGACCAGGCTGGGCGCAGTGGCTCATGCCTGTAATGCCAGCACTTTGGGAGGCCAAGGTGGGCGGATCACCTGAGGTCAGGAGTTGGAGACCAGCCGGACCAACATGGTGAAACCTGGTCTCTACTAAAAATACAAAAATTAGCCAGGCATGGTGGCTGTGCCTATAATCCAGCTACTCGGGAGGCTGAGGCAGGAGAATCGCTTGAACCTGGGAGGCAGAGGTTGCAGTGACCGAAGACCACGCCACTGCACTCCAGCCTGGGCGACAGGGCTAGACTCCATCTCAAAAAAACAAACCAAAAAAAGAAAAAAGAAAGAAAGATCAGACAGACTTGTCCTTCGAAGAGCTGCTGGGATTTGCCTGGAGAGATGCTCAAGAGGCAGCTGCGGAGCCAAGAGGTCAGGCGCTCTTCACTGCGGGACGGCGACGGGCCTTGCTGGGCCTTGCTAGTGTCTGGAAGGGGTGTGGCAAGTCCGGCTGATTCCTGTCTGTCTCTGTCTCTGACACAGGGATATAGAAATGTCAGAACTCGTCCCCTCTTCCCAGTGCTCTGCCCAGCTCTGGCAGCTGCGTGACTTTGGCTTTCATCCCGGTTTCAATTATTCGGTCCCATTGTCCCCATAAATTTATTTGTACTTGTCAGAATATGCGTCGCAGTTTTTGGCTTGGCCAATGCGCCCCTTAGGCATTGGTTGACCGTAACCCACACGTTCTGTCACTGGTTTGAAGACGCCTTTGAGCCCCGCAAGGCATAGATAACCTTGACTGAGTCCTCAGCAAGCCCAGACCCTGCCAGAGGTCCGTCCCCACACACTCCCAGTTTTTCTAAGAGCCCCTTTATCTTTCTTTGAGGGGCTCTCCTCCAAAAAAAAATCCAGGGGCTCTTGGGCCAGGCACGGTGGCCTCACGCCTGTAATCCTAGCACTGTAGGAGCCAAGGTGGGCGGATCACCTGAGGTTGAGAGTTGGAGATCAGCCTGACCAACATGGAGAAACCCCATCTCTACTAAAAATACAAAGTTAGCCAGGCGTGGTGGCGCATGCCTGTAATCCCAGCTACTCTGGAGGCTGAGGCAGGAGAATCACTTGAACCTGGGAGGCGGAGGTTGCAGTGAGCCAAGATTGTGCCACTGCACTCCAGCCTGGGCAACAAAGAGCAAAACTGTGTCTCAAAAAAAAAAAAAAAAATCCAGGGGCTCTTAGAAAAACTGGCTCAAGAAACAGAAGAAGGAAAGCAGGGATGAAGAAAGACCAGCTTAAGAGAGCTGATCCTCCAGGTGACCCTCCAGGGATAGCTGGTCTGCCTCAAAGCACCTTCCAGCAGCAAAGTGTCACATGAGCAAAGAGGAGGGGCGGAGAACCTGCCTGAGGAAACCAGCATTGTCACGGCAGCTTTATAAGAAGGGCATGGCCAACATCCACGCTGCAGATGCTGGGACAGCTCTCTGCGTCACTCCTGAAACTCTGGATCCCACTCCTTACAAACATCAACAACTTTGGGAAGGTTAAGGGGCACAGGGCATTCCCAGATCTTATAAATGAATGCTGGCTTCCTGAGCCAGGGACTGAGGAAATGGGAGTTTCCATGCAAGGCACGCAGGGCGAGGGGCTGTTTATTTTTTTAAGGTTTGAACAACCGCCAGAAGCACTGAAAATTTAATTACTACTGCAGGAAGAGGATAATTTTTGAAGCAGAAAATCTCCTTTAGAATGGAGGGCTTGAGGCAGCTGGAGGGCTCTTGGACTCGGCCTCCTAAGGAGAAAAGTCCTCGTGTACAACTGGTTCCAGCTGGTCCTTCTCCCCATCCAGCATTGCCCAGCTTGTAGGACGCATATCCAAGCCAATCAGCACCCTGTAAGCTACGTTATCCTAGTATTTATCGGTAATTAAATAGGATGTTTAGCATCCTTTACATGGGTAAATGTGTTCTGAGTTCAAACAACGAATGTAAAAGGAACTTTTGGAACTCAGTGCACGTTCAAGTTGGGAGCTTAATAATAACAATAACAGTAGCTGCGAATACTTTTCAACACTTATTCGTCCCTGTGCCAAATGCTTTATGATGTGGCTGATTTCATTTAATCCCCACAACGGCTCTGTGAGATTCATACTATCATTACATTCATTTTATAGATAGAGGAACCAGGTTTCGATACCAAGTGGCAGATCCAGGATTCGATCCGGCAACAGCCGGACAGTGGCAGTCACTTGTATTCATCCTGGGAAGAAGCAAAGGGTGTCACTCCCCAAGGCGATTCTGGGTGCTGTCCTCATGGGAAGCACCCTGAGTGGTGACTAAGAGCAGCGACCTTGAGCCCAATAGACTCGGGCTCAGGTTCTAATTCTGCCACTTACTAGCTGAGTCACCTGGGGCAGGTTCCGCATTCTCCCTGAAACCTAATACTTTCGTCTGTAAAACAGGGGAAGTAACACTGACCTGATAGAAATGGTGTGAAGATTAAACAACGTGGACATAAAGCATGCCTGGCACTTAATAAGCACACAGTAAATGGCAGCCGCTCCTCTTTGTGCCACCTCTGCACCCCTCTCTGTGTACCACCTCTGCATCCCCCATCTGTGTACCACCTCTGCGTTGGATGCAGACACGTAAGCCCTGGAGGGAGTACTTGGAAAAATGAAATATCCAACAAGAAATTGGGAGGATTGCACCAAAACAGGAGAGTTGGATAATGCCTTCTATTTCTTCCCTCGATTCTCAGCATTTTATTTATTTATTTTATTATTATTATTTTTTTTTTTGAGATGGAGTTCCATTCTTGTTGCCCAGGCTGGAGTGCAATGGTGCAATCTCCGCTCACTGCAACCTCTACCTCCTGAGTTCAAGTGGTTCTCCTGCCTCAGCCTCCCAAGCAGCTGGAATTACAGGCACCTGCCATGCCCCACTAATTTTTGTACTTTTAGTAGAGATAGGGTTTTGCCATGTTGGCCAGGCTGGTCTCTGTGAAAAGTAAAAAGTTCCTCTGCAAAGTTTCCCCCTTTTTTTTTTTTGAGACGGAGCCTCACTCTGTCACCCAGGCTGGAGTGCAGTGGCATGGTCTCAGCTCACTGCAACCTCTGCCTCCCAGGTTCAAGCAATTCTCCTGCCTCAGCCTCCTGATTAGCTGGGATTACAGGCATGTGCCACCATGCCCGGCTAATTTTTATATTTTTAGTAGAGACAGGGTTTCATCATGTTGGCCAGGCTGGTCTAGAACTCCTGACCTCGTGATCTGCCTGCCTCAGCCTCCCAAAGTGCTGGGATTACAGGCATGAGTCACTGCACCCGTCTTCAAAGTTTCCCTTTTTGTTAAAGAATAAATAATAACTGTTAGAAATAATAGTTTCTTTTAAAAACTAATTTCCTTCCAGCTTCCTTGCTTTTCACTAATAACTCTTTGTTAAGCCCTATGTAGCTGTTAAATATAGCAAGGGAATAAGTACATTCTATGTCCTTGTACTTTAACCAAGTTATTTGTTCTGGCCTATAGCCTGCTGAGACATGTCTGAACATGACCAGGCATTTCCCAGCTTACAGCCTACACCCCTTCCTTATTTGGAAATGTTATTGTTCTCCTAGTTTCCCATAAACAACCCCTTTCCTTTCTTTGTTCTCCATCGAGCATTTACCTATTTAGGAAAGCTTTAAGTTTTTAGCCCATTGGGATCAGTCTAGATTGTGTAGTCCAGCTCCAGCCAATGGAGATAGGACACAGCAGTAAGGACCCAATGCAGCAGGGATAAAAACCTCTGCTTTTCTTTGTTCAAGGTGCTCTCATGGCAATCAGACTTCCAAGAAGCACCCTTTCTGCAGAAAGTAAAATTGCCTTGCTGAGAAAATTCTTTGTCTGAGTGCTAGTTCTTCTTTTCCGCACTGAGGAACGAGCATTTGTTTCTAACATCTCGAACTCCAGACCTCAGGTGATCCGCCCACCTCGGCCTCTCAAAGTGCAGGGATTAAAGGTGTGAGCCACAGCGCCTGGCAGATTCTCAGCATTTCATCATGGGATATTAAACAGGAGTTCCTCCCAAGAAATATACATGCAAACACATCATCAAAAGTATTTCCACACAGCCTATAGCAGCAGCCCACCTCCATAGTAATTCAGTGATATTTATAGTCCTCACTGGGATTACCTACAGTTGACAAGAGAAAAACAATGAAAGTGGCTGGGTGCGGTGGCTCACGCCTGTAATCCCAGCACTTTGGGAGACCAAGATGGGTGGATCACTTGAGGCCAGGAGTTCAAGACCAGCCTGGCCAATGTGGTGAAACCCTGCCTCTACTAAAAATACAAAAATTAGCTGAACATGGTGGTGTGCACCTGTAGTCCCAGCTACACAGGAAGCTGAGGCAGTGAACTGAGATTACACCACTGCACTCCAGCCTGGGCAATGAGAGCAAAACTCTGTCTCAAAAAAAAATAAAAAATTAGCTGAGCATGGTGGTGCGCACCTATAATCCCAGCTACTTGGGAGGCTGAGGCAGGAGAATTGCTTGAACCCAGGAAGCAGAGGTTGCAGCAAGCCAAGATCGTGACACTGCACTCCAGACTGAGTGACAGAGCGAGACTGTTTCAAAATAAATAAATAAATAAAACATATATAAATGATAAAATGTAAAAGATTGAAACAAATATTACTTTAAATTCTCATTCCATTTCCTGTATTAATGAAACAAAAAAGTTGTTTTGTGATTGATTATGCTTCACTGTTTCATAAGATCTTTATTTACCAAGATGGCACAGTTATTTGAAGGCTGGTATCAAATCCAGTTACTTCTGCACTTGTTTTCATTACTGAACCTTGCTGGCAAGGCTAGAAATGATACTTCACAAAAGTGGAGAAATTAATGGTTCATCCCTAAATATCAAGACTCCTGGAAGTACCTTCCAATGAAACACCCAATGAACTCATGTATAGATTTTCAAGGTCATTTCCCAACTCACCACAAACCTTTGTAAAGATCACACAACTTAAGATAATACAATACACATAAAAGGCCACGCAGACCACTGACCAGCGCGAGGTGCCAAAAGCAACCCATCCTTTGTCACTTTCCATCAGTGGCACATGGCCAAGAGAGTACCCGTGTCCATCTGTCAATTACAAATCATCAAAGCCTTGTTTCATTTCTGTATATTTAAAAAATAGACACAAGCATTATTCTTTTTTTTTGAGACAGAGTTTCAATCATTTTACAAATGAGGTAGCTGAGATCTAGGGAGGCTGTGTGATTGGCTGAAGCTCCCGTATTTTGAAATTGATACAGAGCCAGAACCTTCTGAATGATTTTGCAAGTCCCTGCCTATAAATAGCCCTGTCCAGCTACAGAAATAAAAATCTGTAGCCTTTAAGTGTGGTCCTGCCTAATCCCTGAGTCGCCCAGGCTGGAGTGCAGTGGTGCAATCTTGGCTCACTGCAACCTCCACCTCCTGGATCCAAGCAATTCTCCTGCCTCAGCCTCCCGAGTAGCTGGGACTATGGCACCCGCCACTACACCTGGCTAATTTTTTCTATTTTTAGTAGAGACAGGGTTTCACCATGTTGGCCAGGCTGGTCTTGAACTCCTGACCTCAAATGATCCACCGGCCTCAGCCTCCCGAAATCCTGGAATTACAGACGTGAGCCACTGCACCCGGTCACAAGCATTATTCTTTGTTTTTCCTGCAACCTCCGTGAATTGTCTTACATAAACCCCACTTTGGAGACCAGTGCTCCAGGGAGAGGAAGATGCCAGGCACTAGTCAGGTTGTAAAGACCCCATGTGACCCAAGCCTCAGGCAAGAACCAAGCAGGCTGAGGGCCAGGGTCCCCTGAGAAGGGGCTGCTCTGTGGGCTGCTGAACCTCAGCCCCAACCACAGTACCCGAGGCCCCGGGCATGAAGGTGACAAAACAAATTCCTCATAATAAATAAATAAATCCTTTTGCACCTATGGGACGAAGGGAATCTTGATTGTTCTTGTTCTCTTTCTCTCTTTTTTTTACTCAGGGATTAGGCAGGACCACACTTAAAGGCTACAGATTTTTATTTCTGTAGCTGGACAGGGCTATTTATAGGCAGGGACTTGCAAAATCATTCAGAAGGTTCTGGCTCTGTATCAATTTCAAAATATGGGAGCTTCAGCCAATCACGTAGCCTCCCTAGATCTCAGCTACCTCATTTGTACAATGAAGGGGTTGGACTAGATCCTACTTAAAAATCCTTTAAATTCTATGGGCTGGGCTGGGTGGCTCACATCTGTAATCCCAGCACTTTGGGAGGATGAGGCAGGAGGATCGCTTGAGCCCAGGAGTTCAAACAAGATGAGCCTGGGCAGCAAAGCAAGACCTCATCTCTACAAAAAAAAATTTGTTTTAATTTGCCAGCTCTGGTGGCACATGCCTGTAGTCCCAGCCACTCAGGAGGCTGAGGTGAGAGGATCACTTAGTGACAGGTGACAGCGTGCTGGCAGTCCTCACAGCTCTCGCTCGCTCTCGGCGCCTCCTCTGCCTGGGCTCCCACTTTGGCGGCACTTGAGGAGCCCTTCGGCCCACCGCTGCACTGTGGGAGCCCCTTTCTGGGCTGGCCAAGGCCGGAGCCGGCTCCCTCAGCTTGCAGGGAGGTGTGGAGGGAGAGGCGAGAGCGGCAACCGGGGCTGCATGCGGCGCTTGCGGGCCAGCTGGAGTTCCGGGTGGGCGTGGTCTTGGCGGGCCCCGCACTCGGAGCAACCGGCCAGCCCTGCTGGCCCCGGGCAATGAGGGGCTTAGCACCCGGGCCAGTGGCTGTGGAGGGTGTACTGGGTCCCCCAGCAGTGCCAGCCCACCGGTGCTGTGCTCGATTTCTCACCAGGCCTTAGCTGCCTTCCCGCGGGGCAGGGCTCGGGACCTGCAGCCCGCCATGCCTGAGCCTCCCACCCACTCCATGGGCTCCTGTGTGGCCCCAGCCTCCCCGACGAGCACCACCCCCTGCTCCATGGCACCCAGTCCCATCGACCACCCAAGGGCTGAGGAGTGCGAGCGCACGGCGCAGGACTGGCGGGCAGCTCCACCTGCAGCCCCGGTGCGGGATCCACTAGCTGAAGCCAGCTGGGCTCCTGAGTCTGGTGGGGACGTGGAGAGTCTTTATATCTAGCTCAGGGCTTGTAAACACACCAATCAGCACCCTGTGTTTAGCTCAAGGTTTGTGAGTGCACCAATCAACACTCTGTATCTAGCTGCTCTGGTGAGGACGTGGAGAAACTTTATGTCTAGCTCAGGGATTGTAAATACACCAATCGGCACTCTATCTAGCTCAAGGTTTGTAAACACACCAATCAGCACCCTGTGTTTAGCTCAGGGTTTGTGAGTGCACCAATCGACACTCTGTATCTAGCTGCTCTGGTGGGGCCTTGGAGAACCTTTGTGTCCACACTCTGTATCTAACTAATCTGATGGGGAGGTGGAGAACCTTTGTATCTAGCTCAGGGATTGTAAATGCACCAATCAGCGCCCTGACAAAACAAGCCACTCGGCTCTACCAATCAGCAGGATGTGGGTGGGGCCAGATAAGAGAATAAAAGCAGGCTGCCGGAGCCAGCATTAGCAACCTGCTCGGGTCCCCTTCCACTGTGTGGAAGCTTTGTTCTTTCGCTCTTTGCAATAAATTTTGCTATTGCTGGCTCTTTGGGTCCACGCTGCTTTTATGAGCTGTAACACTCACCGCGAAGATCTGCAGCTTCAGTCCTGAGCCCAGCAAGACCAGGAGCCCACCGGGAAGAAGGAACAACTCCAGACGCTGCCTTAAGAGCTGTAACACTCACCGCGAAGGTCTGCAGCTTCACTCCTGAGCCAGCGAGACCACAAACCCACCAGAAGGAAGAAACTCCGAACACATCTGAACATCAGAAGGGACAGACTCCAGACGCGCCACCTTAAGAGCTGTAACACTCACCGTGAGGGTCCGCGGCTTCATTCTTGAAGTCAGTGAGACCAAGAACCCACCAATTCCCGACACATTGGGATCGGGAGTTTGAGGCTACAGTGAGCTATGATCGTGCCACTGCACTCCAGCCTCGGCAACAGAATGAGACCCAGCCTTTAATAATAATTAACAAATCCTTTAATTCTATTAAGTGAAAAGGAGGTGAATACTAATCCACCTCTAGAAACTTAGTGTTTTTCGGCCGGGCGAGGTGGCTCACGCCTGTAATCCCAGCACTTTGGGAGGCCAAGGTGGGTGGATCACAAGGTCAGGAGATCAAGACCATCCTGGCTAACATGGTGAAACCCCATCTCTACTAAAAATAAATAAAGTAGCTGGGCGTGGCGGCAGGCGCCTGTAGTCCCAGCTACTCGGGAGGCTGAGGCAAGAGAATGGCGTGAACCCGGTAGGCGGAGGTTGCAGTGAGCCGAGATGGCGCCACTGCACTCCAGCCTGGGTGACAGAGCGAGACTCCGTCTTGGGGAAAAAAAAAAAAAAAAAGAAACTTAGTGTCCTTCATAAATTTTATTTGTGCTTTCTAATTCTTTATTTAAAAAAACAAGTTTGGACACAGTGGCTCATGCCTGTAACCCCAGCACTTTGGGAGGCCAAGGCAGGAGGATCACTTGAGCCCACGAGTTCAAGACTAGCCTGGGCAACATAGTGAGGCCGAAAAATAAACACAATACCATTTCTACCAAAAAATAGATAACAATAAAAATAACAAAGCCAAAAAAATTTAATATTTTTCCACAATGCTTTATCCATATTCTTTAGTAGTTTGCATTTCAGAATTCAGAATGGTTTGAACTTCGGGAAGGAAACACAGTACGTATAGAGACCCTTACATCGCATCAGCAAGGTCTGCAGTGACACCTTATAAGCAATCACGCTCATCCTTTTGCAGTGAAACACATGGGCTTTCACACTAAGTAGGATAAAGACTAAAATAGTCTCATATCACTTCAAGCCAAGTTTTGCAGTCAAAAAGTTTGCCACATGCTGAGCAAAAAACTTTGTTTTGAGGGCTGTTTTGGACTTCAGAATTTCTGCAAGGGATGTGTGTCCTTACACATACTAAACTCCAGATAATAAAATTTCATGGTATATGTCGACCTTATATCAATAAGTTCTAAATATTTCACAACCTACCAGTAATTATATTACTATTCAGAATATAAAGGCAAAAATTCACTGAAATTGAATAGCCTCATACCTATTCCAAGCCGTTCCAGTAATTAATCATCATTATGGAATAAAAGTGGGATTGGTCTGATAAAGTGTGTCCCTTACAAAACCAACATTTGAGGCCAGGTCTGGTGGCTCACTCCTGTAATCCCAGCACTCTGGGAGGCTGAGGCAGGCGGATCACTTGAGGTCAGGAATTTGAGACCAGCCTGGCCAACATGGTGAAACCCTGCCCCTACCAAAAAATACAAAAATTATCTGGGAGTGGTGGCACATGCCTGTAGTCCCAGCTACCGGAGAGGCTGAGGTGGGAGAATCACTTGAACCAGGAGGCGGAGGTTGCAGTGAGCCGAGATCACGCCGCTGCACTCCAGCCTGGGTGATAGAGCGAGACCCTGTCTCCAAACAAAAAAACAAAAAACAAACATAACAAAAAACAAAAAAAATTGATATGTTTAAAGTGACTTTTTGGACATTTTAGAAATGAAAATTAAGTGGACTGGACTATAATCTCTGGTTACATCCCTTCTCCTCTTTTTCTAAATATAGGCAGTGCATTTGCCTGTTGGCATTAACTCTTCCCCTTTGCCACCTCAATAACTAGGCTTCTCCAACATTTGACATTCTAGAAGCTTCCAGCGTGGAGTTAAAGCAGAACTGCCACCAGCAATGCACCACGTTGACAGGAAGTATGGGCATCTTACTCTGATGGAGAAAAAACAACCTGGAGAAAATGTGGACAAAGATCTTCAAGTAGTATCTTTTCTTTTTGGAGACGGAGTTTTACTCGTGTTGCCCAGGCTGGAGTTCAATGACATGATCTCGGCTCACTGAAACCTCCACCTCCCAGGCTCAAGCGATTCTCCTGCCTCAGCCTCCCAAATAGCTGGAATTACAGGCACCTGCCACCATGACCGGCTTTTTTTTTTTTTTTTTTTTTTTGAGACAGAATTTCATACTTGTTGCCCAGGCTAGAGTGCAATGGCATGATCTTGGCTCACCGCAACCTCTGCCTCCCAGGTTCAAGCCATTTTCCTGCCTCAGCCTCCCAAGTAGCTGGGATTACGGGCATGTGCCACCACGCCCAGCTAATTTTGTATTTTTAATAGAGACGGGGTTTCTCCACGTTGGTCAGGATGGTCTCGAACTCCCAACCTCAGGTGATCCAACCCCCTCGGCCTCCCAAAGTGCTGGGATTACAGGCGTGAGCCACCATACCCAGCCTAATTTTTGTGTTTTTAGTAGAGATGGGGTTTCAACATGTTGGCCAGGCTGGTCTCAAACTTTTGACCTCAGGCGATCTGCCGACCTCGGCCTCCCAAAGTGCTGGATTGCAGGCGTGAGACAGCATGCCCAGCCTTCAAGAAGTATCTTACTTATCTGCTTCTCCTGAAATAGACCTCCCAAAGTTTCTGGTTTCATCACTGCCTGTAAATAGTGAACAAGAAATTGTAGGTCTTTGCTCAAATGATTTCTTCTACCAGGAATGCATTTGCTTGCACGTACATAACCTTTCAGCTCACATTCAGCTATCAGTTGCAATGAGGGAGAAATCATTTATTTTAACTGACCATTTATTATAATGATTTATACTCCAAAATATTAAAAAGCAGTAAAATAAACCAGATTAATTTTTAACTTCTTTCATTGCATTTTTCTCAGCTCACCTTCAAGTGAAAGTCCTAATGATTTTTAAAATATCACTCCACTAGAAGAAAAATAAGCTGAGTAACCCTGAAAATCCAGATGCAGAACTATCAAGGGACCGTGTACTCGCTCTACTTTATGATGTCATAACATCGTATGTACAATGATATGTACCCCAAGGCATTTAATGCTTTCAAAAGAATTTTTTTTTTTTTTGCTTTGAGACAGAGTGTCACTATGTTGCCCAGATTGGTCTTAAACTCCTGACCTCAAGTGATTCTTCCACCTCAACCTCCCAAATATTAATAGCTGGGATTACAAGTGTGAGCCACCATGCTTAGCTAAAAAAAAAAAAAAAAATTTTTTTTTTTTGAGACAGAGTCTCACTCTGTAGCCCAGGCTGGAGTGCAGTGGCGTGATCTCAGCTCACTGCAACCTCCACCTCTCGGGTTCAAGCAATTCTCATGCCTCAGCCTCCCAAGTAGCTGGAATTACAGGCATCCACCACCACACCCAGCTAATTTTTGTATTTTTAGTACAAACGGGGTTTCACCCTGTTGGCCAGGCTTGTCTCAAACTCCTGGCCTCAAGTGATCTGTCTGTCTTGGCCTCCCAAAGTGCTGGGATTGCAGGTATGAGCCAATGCACCTGGCCTAAAAAATTTTTTGTAAATTAATAGCTGCACAGCCTGGGCAACATGGAGAGACTCTGTCTCTACAAAAAAAAAAAAAAATTAAAAACAAATTAGCTGGGTGTGCTGGCACACACGTGTACTCCTAGCTACTCAGGAGGCTGAGGCAGGAGGATCACGTTAGCCTGGAAGGTAGAGGCTGCAGGGAGCCATGAACGCACTGCTGTACTCCAGCCTCAGAGATGGAGCAAGAGACACCCTGCATCAAAAAAAAAAAAAATTAATAGCTAATAGCTGTGCTTGACTGTGTTATTCAAAATATGAAACTTAAATGCTCAAATAAAATCAAAATATATGTCTTTTGCTTCACTCAACCTAGCCATCAAAACACTCCATTGGAGAAGAAAATTAAAAAGAATTGACAAGCTTTATTCTCATAATTGTGCTTTTAAGTTGATTGCTGTCAACTATTGAAAGCACTCTAATGTTGGTCAGTGTCTTCAGTGGATAAACGGAAAATTAGACTTGCTTAGTTAATATAAATTTTAACATAGATGTAAATAAAGCACAACTAAAATAGTACAATATTTCCTAATCACAAGCTAAACCATCAATCCACAATCACTTTTTAAGAAAAAAAATGCCTTTAATACAGAGTTTTTAGAAACTTTAACAAGGCTGGGCGCGTTGGCTCCTGCCTGTAATCCCAGCACTTTGGGAGGTTGAGGTGGGTGGATCACTTGAGTTCAGAAGTTCAAGACAAGCCTGACCAACATGGTGAAACCCCATCTCTACTAAAAATACAAAAATTAGCTGAGTGTGGTGGCACGTGCCTATAATCTCAGCTACTCAGGAGGCTGAGGCAGGAGAATCGCTTGAACCTGGGAGGCAGAGGTTGCAGTGAGCCAAGATCACGCCACTGCACTTGGCCACAGAGGCAGACTCTGTCTCAAAAAAATAAATAAATATGGCCAGGAGTGGTGGCTCATGCCTGTAATACTAGCACTTTGGGAGGCCGAGGTAGGTGGATCACCTGAGGTCAGGAGTTCAAGACTACCCCGGCCAACATGGTGAAACCCCATCTCTACTAAAAATACAAAATTAACCGGTATGGTGGCCACATGCCTGTAATCCCAGCTACTTGGGAGGCTGAGGCAGGAAAATTGCTTGAACCTGGGGAGCGGAGGTTGCAGTGAGCTGAGATCATACCATTGCACTCCAGCCTGGACAACTCCGTCTCCAGAAAATTAAACTCCAGGCAAGGCGCGGTGGCTCACGCCTGTAATCCCAGCACTTTGGGAGGCCAAGGTGGGCAGACCACAAGGTCAGGAGATCAAGACCATCCTGGCTAACACAGTGAAACCCTGTCTCTACTAAAAATATAAAAAAATAAGCCAGGTGTGGTGGCAGGCGCCTGTAGTCCCAGCTACTTGGGAGGCTGAGGCAGGAGAATGGTGTGAACCCAGGAGGCGTAGGTTGCAGTGAGCCAAGATCGCGCCTGGGCGACAGAGCAAGACTCTGTCTCAAAAAAAAAAAAAAAAAAAGTTAAACTCCATCTCAAAAAAAGCTAAACTCTGTCTCAAAAAAAAATTAAAAAATTAAATATAAATACATAAATAATAAAATTAAAATTAACACTTGTCAAATATTTTATTCAACTCATTAGTGAGGAAAATAGTAAGATGTGAAGACTGGTTCAAAGGACAAATGAGGAGCTAGGTATTTATAATCATATTAATAAATAAATATTAGGATAAAATTGATGGATCCAAAACTGGTTAATATCCTAGAGGGCACCAGACCATAACCTTTGGGGTTTTCTTTTCTGCTGCATGAAAATTATTTGCATCTCTTTTTGTTTTGTTCTGTTTTTTGGGTTTTGTTTTGTTTTTTGAGACCCAGTTTCACTCTGTCACCCAGACAGGTGTGATCTCAGCACACTGTAATCTCTGCCTCCTGGGCTCAAGCGATCCTCCCACCTCAGCCTCCTGTGTAGGTGGGACTACAGATGCGTGCCATCACACTCAGCTAATTTTTGTATTTTTTGTAGAGACAGAGGTCTTGCCATGTTGCCCAGCTGATCTCAAGCTCCTGAGCTCAGGTGATCCACCCACCTTGGCCTCCCAAAGTGCTGGGATTGCAAGCATGAGCTACCATGCCTGGCCTTTCTGGTTCTGGATTTTGTGGGGGGTTATTTTTAGAGACAAGGTCTTGCTCTGTCTCCCAGGCTGGAGTGCAGTGGCACAATCATGGCTCACTGTAATCTTGAACTCCTGGGCTCAAGCGATCCTCCCACACTTGGCCTCCCAAAGTGCTGGGATTACAGGCACCAGTCACAGCCCCCAGCCTGCATTTCTACCAGACAAGAATCTCTAAGTTACAGGCAACTTCTCTGAGCCTGAGAACTTTAATCAATAGTACCTAGTGGCTGAGCAAAGTATATTCCCTAAATTGTCCCTCTTGGATGGACCTTTGTCCTTATATGTCATTGACGAGCTGTGTGGTTTACCTGTTTACCTTGCTTTCAATTTTGGATAATTTTTCTTACCATCCCCTTACTCTTCTCCAGAGTCTACATTCAATTCTTGTTAGTCTTCCATCTTTTTTTTTTTTTTCCTTATGAGATGGAATTTTGCTCTTGTCGCCCAGACTGGAGTGTAATGGTGCTATCTTGGCTCACTGCAACCTTTGCCTCCCGGGTTCAAGCGATTCTTCTGCCTCAACCTCCCAAGTAGCTGGGACTACAGGCATGTGCCACCATGCCTGGCTAATTTTTTTTTTTTTTTTGGATTTTTAGTAGAGACGGGGTTTCTCCATGTTTGTCAGGCTGGTCTCAAACTCCCCACCTCAGGTGATCCACCCGTCTTGGCCTCCCAAAGTGCTGGGATTACAGGTGTGAACCATCGTGCCCGACCTTGCCCGACCGAATACGTATATCCTCTCTATGTATCCACTCCATGCTGTAGCCTTGGTTCATACCCTCATTCTCCTACCTTAGCTTTTGCAAATGTTCCTCCTGAATAATCTCCCAAATTCCATTCTGTCTTCCGGGGGAAACTGAAATCTGATCATGTTCATCACGTGAGGATCACTCCAAAGCTCACACCTGTGATCCTAGGTGCTTTGAGAGGCCGAGATGCGGGGATCACTTGAAGCCAGAAGTTCAAGACCAGCCTGGGCAACAAAGCCAGACCCCATCTCTACAAACAAATGAAAATAAAAGTAGTGATCCGGCCGGGCGCGGTGGCTCACGCCTGTAATCCCAGCACTTTGGGAGGCCGAGGCGGGCGGATCACGAGGTCAGGAGATCGAGACCATCCCGGCTAAAACGGTGAAACCCCGTCTCTACTAAAAATACAAAAAATTAGCCGGGCGTAGTGGCGGGCGCCTGTAGTCCCAGCTACTTGGGAGGCTGAGGCAGGAGAATGGCGTGAACCCGGGAGGCGGAGCTTGCAGTAAGCCGAGATCCCGCCACTGCACTCCAGCCTGGGCGACAGAGCGAGACTCCGTCTCAAAAAAAAAAAAAAAAAAAAAAAAAGTAGTGATCCAGTTCTCCGTGACCTGCCTACATCTCCAGCCTCACCTCTTCAGCAGCCTGAGTGCGCCTTGCAATCTACCACCGCAAAACGTTGCTTTACATCTTTGCTCCTCCCTTTTGAAATCCTCTCCTTGCTAACATTACCCCCTCCCTTGGCCTATCCCAGATTCTCCGCCTCTATAGTCTGAATGTTTGTGGCTCCCCAAAATGTATGTGTTGAAACCTAATCTCCAGTGTGATGGTATTTGGAGGAGGGGCCTTTGGGAGGTGATTAGGGCATGAGAGTGGAGTCTCATGAATGGGATTAGTGCCCTTAGAAAGAGGCCTCAGAGGCCGGGCGCGGTGGCTCACGCCTGTAATCCCAGCACTTTGGGAGGCCGGGGTGGGCAGATCACCTGAGGTCAGGAGTTTGAGACCAACCTGGCCAACATGGGGAAGCCCTGTCTCTACTAAAAATGCAAAAATTAGCCAGCTGTGGTGGCGGGCACTTGTAGTCCCAGCAACTCAGGAAGCTGAAGCAGGAGAATCACTTGAACCCAGGAGGCGGGGGTTGCAGTGGGCCAAGATCGCACCACTGCACTCCAGCCTGGGCGACAGAGTGAGAATCCAGACTCCGTCTCAAAAAAAAAAAAAAAAAAAAAAAGAGGCCTCAGGCCAGGTGCGGTGGCTCACGCCTGTAATCTCAGCACTGAGAGGCCAAGGCGGGCCAATCACTTGGGCCCAGCAGTTCAAGACCAGCCTAGCCAACATGGCGAAACCCTGTCTCTACCAAAAATACAAAAATTAGCTGGGCGTGGTGGCGTGCTACTCAGGAGGCTGAGGTGGGAGAATTGCTTGAACCCAGGAGGCAGAGGCTGCAGTGAGCCGAGATCGCACCACTGCACTCCAGCCTGGGCAACAAAGCGAGACTCCATCTCAAAAAAAAAGAGTAGAGAAGTCCACAGCCCTGGCAACTGCTCGAGCACTGAGGCTCAGGTGAAGCCAACACGGAAGAAGTGAGTCCTAGGATATAATTCAAACACAGGTGGCGGCTTTCAAGCCCTGTGAACCAATTCACCAGGATTCTGTAGAAAGAAGCTTGGTGAAGGTTCCATGGGAGTATTTTATAAAATTGTGTAATACATTCATATTTTCATGTTTCTTCGCTCTGAAGAGGATTTCTGAATCCAGAGCCTTTTCTCTCCTAATCTATAGCCTGCATCTCAAGTCATGAATGTGTTCCAAATGTGTCCTCAAGAATCACATCACAAAGCAAACATTAAAACTGCTGCCATGGTTGGCCAGAAAATATATTAAATAGGCAGGATAAAAAGACAAGAGTTTCACAGCTGCATAGAATGTTGTTGGTAGTGGCAGGCTGTCACTTCTACTGCAAGACCTAGATAAAAAGGATAAATTATAAAATACATTTTTTTTTTTTGAGATGGAGTTTCACTCTTGTTGCCCAGGCTGGAGTGCAATGGCGCAATGTCGGCTCACCGCAACCTCCGCCTCCTGGGTTCAAGCGATTCTCCTGCCTCAGCCTCCAGAGTAGCTGGGATTACAGGCATGTGCCACCACGCCCGGCTAATTTTGTATTTTTCGTAGAGATGGGGTTTCTCCATGTTGGTCAAGCTGGTCTCAAACTCCCGACCTCAGGTGATCCACCCACCTCGGCCTCCCAAAGTTCTGGGATTACAGGCGTGAGCCACCACGTCCAGCCACAGAATACATTTTTAAAGGTCTTGGAGAGCTATGGAAATGAGGACTTAAATGGACTAAAATTCCAAGGAGGTGGGCTTGGGGGAGCTGGTGGCAGTGGTGCCAGCGGAGTTGGTGTTTTGTTTTGTTTTGTTTGAGACAGGGTCTTGTTCTGTCGCCCAGGCTGGAGTGCAGTGCTGCTATCACGGCTCGCTGCAGCCTCAACTTCCCAGGCTCAAGTGATCCTTCCACCTCAGGCTCCTGAGTAGCTGGGACCACCGGCACACAGCACCATGCACAGCTAATTTTGGTGTATTTTTTGTAGAGATGGGGGTCTCACTATGTTGCCCAGGCTGTTCTCCAACTCCTGGGCTCAAGCGATCCACCCACCTCGACCTCCCAAAATGCTGGGATTACAGGCGTGAGACATCGTGCCCAGCCCTGGGCAGAGTTTTTGTATGTTCCAAATCCCCACGTAAAAACCAACAGAGCAACTTATACAGTGAAACCAAAAATTCTTGAGAAAATTTACAATAATAACAAAAAAAAGAACAGAGTAGAAGTCACCTGTAATCCCAGAACTTTGGGAGGCCGAGGTGGGCAGATCACTTGAGGTCGGGAGTTTGAGACCAGCCTGGCCAATATGGAGAAACCCCGTCTCTACTAAAAATACAAAATTAGCCATGTGTGGTGGCGCATCCCTGTAATCCCAGTACTCAGGAGGCTGAGGCAGGAGAATCGCTTGAACCCGGGAGGTGGAGGTTGCGGTGAGCCGAGATCGTGCCATTGCACCCCAGCCTGGGCAACAAGAGCCAAACTCCGTCTCGACAAAAAAAAAAAAAAAAAAAAAATAGACAAAGGCTGGTACAGTAGTTCCAGCTCTTTAGGAGTCTGAGGTGAGAGGATCACTTGAGCCCAGGAGTTCAAGACCAGCCTGAGCAACATAGTGAGACCCTGTCTCTACAAAAAGTAGATTTAAAACATTAGTTGAACATGGCTGGATGCAGTGGCTCATGCCTGTAATCCCAGCACTTTGGGAGGCTGAAGTGGGCCAATCACCTAAGGTCAGGAGTTCGAGACTAGCCTGGCCAACATGGTAAAACCCCATCTCTACCAAAAATACAAAAATTAGCCAAACGTGGTGGCAGGCACCTGTAATCCCAGCTACTTGGGAGGCTGAGGCAGGAGAATAGCTTGAACCCAGGAGACAGAGGTTGCAGTGAACTGAGATCGCTCCATTGCACTCCAGCCTGGGTGACAAGAGTGAGACTCCATCTCAAACAAAAACAAAAACAAAAACAAAAACAAAAAAAACCCTGGCTGAACACAATAGTACATGCCTGTAGTCCCAGCTACTTGGGAGGCTGAGGTGGGAGGATCACTTGAGCCCAGGTGTTTGAGACCATCTTGGGCAACACAGGGAGACTCTGTCTCTATTAAAAATAAAAAAACTTAAAAGGAAAAAAAAAGCCGGGCGCTGTGGCTCACGCCTGTAATCCTAGGACTTCGGAAGGCCAAGGCAGGTGGATCGCCTGAGGTCAGGAGTTTGAGACCAGCCTGGCCAACATGGTGAAACCCCGTCTCTACTAAAAATACAAAAATTAGCCAGGTGTGGTGACGGGTGCCTATAATCTCAGCTGCTCAGGAGGCTGAGGCAGGAGAATCGCTTCAACCCGGGGGATGGAGGTTCCAGTGAGCCAAGATCGCGCCACTTCACTCCAGCCTGAGCAGAAAGAGCGAAACCCCAAAAAATAAATAAATACATAAATACACAAGTAAGTAAAAGAAAAAAAAAGAAAACCAAAGTAGATAGTAAATAATATAAATCAGGAAAGTTTTCCTGAGATTAAATTTTAAAAGGTTTAAAACTGCATATTAAGAGAAAAACCCCTGCACCTGAAAATATTGACCAAAATAAGTCACACCAAAGTATATTTTAGTAAAACTACAGAACTTTAAAAACCCTCCATTGAACATATAGGTAAAACACATATGATGGAAAAAAGAAAGAAAACTAGATTCTAATCAAACTACTGGCAGTGATACTTCATACCAGAAGAAAACGAACTAGATTCTTGTGAGCCAAGGATTTTCTGTCAGTAAAACCAATCCTCAAGCACAAATGGCACAAACCTCCACCGGGAATATGGTTCTCATTAGCCCTTCCTAAGGAAGCTACTAGAGATGGAGCGCCCAACACCAGAATGTCTAGATATAGACACTGGAGTGAACAGTGAACATGTACAACTAAATATAGTTAGTTGTAGAATGAAGACCAAGTGTGGCTGGGCACAGTGGCTCATGCCTGTAATCCCAGCACTTTGGAAGGTCGAGGTGGGCGGATCACTTGAGGCCAGGAGTTTGAGACCAGCCTGGCCAACATGGCAAAACCTCATTTCTACTAAAAATATAAAAAATTAGCCGGGTGTGGTGGCGCGTGCACCTGTAGTTCCAGCTACTCGGGAGGCTGAAGCAGGAGAGTAGCTTGAACCCAGGATGTGGAGGTTGCAGTGAGCCAAGATCGTGCCACTGCACTCCAGTCTGGGCAAAAAAGCAAGACTCCATTGAAAAAAAAAAATTATTTGGGAGGCTAAGGCAGGAGAATGGCCTGAACTCAGGAGGTGGAGGTTGTGGTGAACCAAGATCTCGCCCGCCATTGCACTCCAGCCTGGGCAACAAGAGTGAAACTCTGTCTCTCTCTCTCTCTCTCTCTATATATATATATATATATTTATTTATTTATTTATCTATTTATTATTTTTATATTGACAGTATTGTGTTTAGTTGTGGGATATTTTAATTCCTTGAGTAAGTTTGGGCTATTCTAATTCCATCATTCCCTTGAGAACCAAAATCCTTGCTGTGGAAGAAATAAGATACAAATGCAATATAAAAGAGGTTAAGGAAAACCACTGTAGTCCAAAATTTGTATTTTAAATATTAATATGAGCTCATGAGGTATTTTTATCTTTAAATATATAATTTTTAGTTCTAGCCAATAGAAAAGTCAAGAGACAATGAACAACCCAGTAGGAGAAAGCATGTCTCCTTCTTAGATCATAGTCTTGCAAACTATTTCCCATTGAAATAAATCAGAGCAAGGCCAGGCGCGGTGGCTGACATCTCTCATCCCAGCATTTTGGGAGGCCAAGGTGAGAGGATTGCTTGAAGCCAGAAGTTTGAGACCACCCTGGCCAACATAGTGAGACCCTGTCTCATTTTATAAATAAATAAATACATAAATAAATCAGAGCATCTTCAGGAAATGGCTAGTTCCCAATCTGAGGCAGGAAATGTACAAGATAAGCTTGGAACATCTTGACATATCAGAAAGCAAGGACACTATGAAAGACCACTAAAGTTATGGCAAAAGGACCTAAAGAAGCCCACGGTGGCCAGAGACTGGACCATTTGAGTTTCAGGAAAAATAGGAATTAGAATGAATTAAAATCCAGCACGTAGGCCGGGCATGGTGGCTTACACCTGTAATCCCAGTGCTTTGGAAAGCCGAGGCAGGAGGAGTGGAGTTTGAGATTACAGCGAACTATAATCCTGCCACTGCACTCTAGCCTGGGAAACAGCGAGCCCCTGTCTCTGAAAACCATAAACAATCAACAACTATGCTTAAATAGATAAATTCACAATAATATATGTTTTTATTTTTATTTTATTTGATTTGATTTTGGAGACAGAGTCTCACTCTGCCACCCAGGCTGGAGTGCAGTGGCGCAATCTCTGCTCACTGCAACCTCTGCCTCGCAGGTTCAAGAGAGTCTCCTGCGTCAGCCTCCTGAGTAGCTGGGATTACAGGCGTGAGCCACCACACCCAGCTAATTTTTGTATTTTTAGTAGAGACGGGGTTTCACCATGTTGGCCAGGCTGGTCTTGAACTCCCTACCTCAAGTGATCTGCCCACCTCGGCCTCCCAAAGTGCTGGGATTACAGGCGTGAGCCAGTGTGTCCAGCCACAATAATATATGTTTTTAATTGGTTACCTTCTGAGGATAATAAGAAACTAATTCATTATTTGAAAACTTAGCAAATAAAAGGAAATAATCAAACATGTATCCTGCCTTTCCTGTAAGAACTTTACCAATGAGGTACTTAGGTGAAGGGTAGCTTCTTTTTTCCTTTCTTTTGAGACAGTCTTACTCTGTCGCCCAGGCTGGAGTGCAGTGGGGCTATCTCAGCTCACTGCAACCTCCACCTCCCGGGTTCAAGGGATTCTCCTGCTTCAGCCTCCTGAGTAACTGGGATTACAGGCTTGCACCACCATATCTGGCTAATTATTGTACTTTTAGTAGAGACAGGGTTTCACCATATTGGCCGGGCTGGTCTCCAACTCCTGACCTCAAGTGATCTCCTGGCCTCGGCCTCCCACAATGCTGGGATTACAGGCGTGAACCACTGCGCCTGGCCCAGGGGTAGCTTCTTATGAAATTATTTCAGGCTGGGTGCGGTGGCTCACGCCTGTAATTCCAGCACTTTGGGAGGCCAAGGTGGGCAGATTGCCTGAGGTCGGAAGTTTGAGACCAGTCTGACCAACATGGAGAAATTCCATCTCTACTACAAATACAAAATTAGCTGGGCGTGGTGGTGCATGACTGTAATCCCAGCTACCCAGGAGGCTGAGAAAAGAGAATCACTTCAACTTGGGAGGCAGATGCTACGGTAAGCCGAGATCACACCATTGCACTCCAGCCTGGGCGACAAGAGCGAAACTCTGTCTCAAAAAAAGAAAAAAAAAAAAAGGTTATTTCAGGCTGGGCGCAGTGGCTCACAACTGTAATCCCAGCACTTTGTGGGAGGTTGAGGCAGGCAGATCACAAGGTCAAAAGTTCGAGACCAGCCTGGCCAACATAGGGAAACCTCGTCTCTACTAAAAATACAAAAATTAGCCAAGCGGTGTGGTGACACGCGCCTGTAATCCCAGCTACTTGGGAGGCTGAGGCAGGAGAATCGCTTGAACCCGGGAGGCGGAGGTTTCAGTGAGCCAAGATTGCGCCACTGCACTCCATCCTGGGCGACAGAGCCAGACTCTATCTCAAAAAAAAAAAGAAGAAATTATTTCAGTTTATAGATTAAAGAATTAGAATGTCACCATTTTGCAACCTCTAATGAACTGATAGATCTAGACACTGGGTCTCAGTAGCTGCTAACATGAAAGAAGAGAGAAAAACAGATATTATGTGTTGTCTGATGAAAGAACAAAATACCACCTCTAGCTCTGCCAAAGGAATCCCACCTCAATCAGATTGAGCGTCTGGGTCCAGGAACAAGTGTTCCTGAGGCTGAAATCTCAGATGTTGCTGGTGTAAGTGTAAATCAATACAGCCACTTTGGAAAACTGTTTGACAGTAATGGCTAAATTTTAACATATGTCTACTCTGTGACCCAGCAGTTCCAATCCTAAGTATATATCCAAGATGAGGGAAACACACATACTTCAAAAGACATGTATGAAAATGTTCATAGCAAAAGAATGAATAAGGCCTAGTATTAGCACAACAGGATAACTGTAGTCAATAATAATTTAATTGTACATTTTAAAATAACTAAAAGAGTAAAATTGGATTGTTTCTAACACAAAGGATCAATGCTTGAGGGGATGGATACCACATTTTTCATGATGTGGTTACTATGCATTGCACGCCTATACCAAAATATCTCATGGGCCAGGCACTGTGGCTCATGCCTGTAATCCCAGCACTTTGGGAAGCCGAGGTGGGCAGATCACTTGAGGTCAGGAGTTTGAGACCAGCCTGGCCAAAATGGTGAAACCCCATCTCTACTAAAAATACAAAAATTAGCAGGGCGTGGTGGCAGGCACCTGTAGCCCCAGCTACTCGCGAGGCTGAGGCACGAGAATTGCTTGAACCCAGGAGGCAGAGGTTGCAGTGAGCCGAGATCGCATCACTGAACTCCAGCCTGGGTGACAGAGTGAGATTCTGGCTCAAACAAACAAACAAAAAACACTATCTCATGTACCCCATAAATATAATATATACATCTACTATATACTTACAAAACTTAAAATTCAAAGTTCAAAAACATTCAAAAAAAAAAACCCCAAACATCTTCATAGTGGCTTTTTTATAAAAACCCAAAACTGGAAATAACTCAAATATCTATTCACAGTAAAATGGATAGATAAATAATGGCATAGTCATTCAATAGAACACTGCATAACCATTAAAAATGACTGCTGCATATACAACAAGATGAATCTCACAGCTATGATGTTGAGCAAAAGACACAGACACAAAAAGTAGGAATTGTCTGGTTCCATTTATCTGAAGGCTAAGAATAGGCAAAACTAATATATGGTTATAGAATTCTGAATTGCTCTTAGCTCTGGATGGGGAGAGTGGATATTGACTGGGAAGAAAATAAAAGAACATTCTCAGGTTGGAATGCAGTGGCATGATCTCAGCTCACTGTAACCTCCGCCTCCCGGGTTCCAGCGATTCTTCTGTCTCAGCCTCCTGAGTAGCTGGGATTACAGGCGTGCACCACCATGCCTGGCTAATTTTTGTACTTTTTTTTAGTAGAGACAGGGTTTCACCATGTTGGCCAGGCTGGTCTTGAACTCCTGACCTCAGGTGATCCACCTGCCTCGGCCTCCCAAAGTGCTGGAATTACAGGTGTGAGCCACTGCACCCAGCTGGAAATATTCTATATCTTGTTTGGGATGGGGATTACATCACTGTACACATATATAAAAATTCATTGAAACGAAACTACTAAATGCATGTTCTATTCCCTAAAAAAAATAATAAAAAAGAATAAAGTTACACATAAACTCCCATAATTTCCAGTCCTTAGTTACCATGCTAATATATCCTTACTCATTTCCTTATCATTTCATATTTACCCTACAAATTTGTCTACCAATTGGGTTAAAGCTCTGTTACAATTTGACCTTTCATTCCAACTGAAACTCTTGATCAAGAGTCTGCAGTTCCCTCCCCAACCCTGTTAGGTATAAAGATTCCATAGCTAACAAACCAAAAAACAAAATAAAAACAACACAAATCTTTCTAGGTGAAATATCTAGGCAGTGGGAGTCAACAGAAATCGTCATATCTGGACCGGGTGCGCTGGCTCACACCTGTAATCCCAGCACTTTGAAAGGCTGAGGCGGGCAGATCATTTGATGTCAAGAGTTCGAGAACAGCCTGGCCAACACAGTGAAATCCTGTCTCTACTAAAAACAAAAATTAGCCAGGCATGGTGGCACAGGCCTGTAGTCCCAGCTACTCGGCAGGCTGAGGCAGAAGAATTGCTTGAACTTGAGAGGCAGAGGTTGCAGTGAGCCAAGATCACACCACTGCACTCCAGCCTGGGTGACAGAGCAAGACTTCATCTCAAAAAAAAAAAAAACAAAAAAAAAAAAACAGGTCATATCTGGCTGCGGTGGCTCATGCCTGTAATCCTAGCATTTTGGGATTTTGGGAAGCCAAGGTAGGAGGATCGCTTGAGCCCAGGAGAATGAGGCTGCAATGAGCTGTGATCATGCCACTGCTCTCCCACCTGGGTGACAGAATGAGATTCAGTCTCAAAAAAAAATAAAGAAAAGGAAGGAAGGAAGGAAGGAAGGGAGGGAGGAAGAGAAGAGAGGAAGGGAGGGGAGGGGAGGGGAGGGGAAGGGAGGGGAGGGGAGAGGAGGGGAAGGGAGGGGAGAGGAGGGGAAGGGAGGGGAGAGGAGGGGAAGGGAGGGGGAGGGGAGGGGAGAGGAGGGGAAGGGAGGGGAGAGGAGGGGAAGGGAGGGGAGAGGAGGGGAAGGGAGGGGAAGGGGAGGGGAGAGGAGGGGAAGGGAGGGGAGAGGAGGGGAAGGGAGGGGGAGGGGAGGGGGGAGGAGAGGAAGGGAGGGGGAGGGGAGGGGGGAGGAGGGGAAGGGAGGGGAGAGGAGGGGAAGGGAGGGGAAGGGAGGGGAAGGGGAAAGGAGGGGAGGGGAGGGGAGGGAAGGGAAGGGAAGGAAGGGAAGGGAAGGGAAAGGAAGGGAAGGGTCAGGTCATATCTTGGCACATCTTGGTCATTAATAGAAAACAGAGGCTCTATCAAGTCCCTTCATCCTTGAGTGCCCATTTCTTCACATGCCAAAAGGAGTGAATGATACCTACACTGTCACCCACCTCAGAGGTAATGAGATTGCGGGAAAACAATTATGAACATGATTTAGAAGCCAATGATGCACTTGTTAAATGTAAGCCTTTATTACTGGCACCTATTACCATATAGAACACAAAATAAAATGCTCAATAAACAACTGAGTATTGATTGATTGTTATTCTCTAGCCAGCCAGGCTACTTGAGGAAACCCTATCAGGACACATATCCAGTACATATTATCATTATCACTATTTTTTTTTTGAGATGGAGTCTAGCTCTGCCACCCAGGCTGGAGTACAGTGGTGCGATCTCGGCTCACTGCAACCTCTGCCTCCCAGGTTCAAGCGATTCTCCTGCCTCAGCCTCCCGAGCAGCTGGGATTACAGGCGCCTGCCACCAAGACCAGCTAATTTTTGTATTTTTAGTAGAGACAGGGTTTCACCATGTTGGCCAGGATGGTCTCGATCTCTTGACCTCGTGATCTGCCCGCCTCGGCCTCCCAAAGTGCTGGGATTACAGGCGTGAGCCACCGCGCCGGACCCAGCACATATTATTTTTGAACATCTCATTGTCAACACCAATTCTCAATCTTGTCAGATTGCCAAATTGTTACAGGTGGAGAGTGTCTAGGTTCTTGGCGTTTTGAACAAAGAATTGGACGAGACGCACAAACAAAGCAAGGAAAGAATGAAGCAACAAAAGCGGAGATTTGTTGAAAATGAAAGCACACTGCACAGGGTGGGAGCGGCCGAGCAAGTGGCTCAAGGGCTTGGTTACAGAATTTCCTGGGGTTTAAATACCCTCTGGAGGTTTCCATTGGTTATTTGGTGTACGCTCTATGTAAATGAAGAGGCTAAACTGCAGTTACAAAGTTATTTACTTGGTGTATACCCTATGTAAATGAAGAGGATATTTCCTGCCATAGCTGGAGTGTTTCCATTTGATTTAGTTCTAGGAAGTCCTTAGGTTTCCTGCGCCTTAGGCCATATTCTCCTGCCTCAAAATCAACCTTAGAATGTGTTTTTACTTGAGAGTCAAACACAGCGCAGATCTATTCAACTAGGTAATAGGCCAGGCATGACTAAGTCACAGAGAAATAAGCTAGCGCCCACGGTGTGGGTAAAAGATCATTCTCACCACATGGCGGCAGGTTACTGCCCATGAAGAAGAATCAGATGGCCGGCTGCGGTGACTCACGACTGTAATCCCAGCACTTTGGGAGGCTGGGGCGGGAGGGTCACCTGAGGTCAGGAGTTCAAGATCAGCCTGGCCAACATGGCGAAACCCTGCATCTACTAAAAATACAAAAATTAGCTGTGGTGGCAGGTGCCTGTAATCTCAGTGACTAGGGAGGCTGAGGCAGGAGATTGCTTGAACCCAGGGGGCGGAGGTTGCAATGAGCCGAGATGGTGCCACTGCACTCCAGCCTAGGCGACAGAGCGAGACTCCGTCTCAAAAAAAAAAAAAAAAAAGAATGAGATGGGGGTAGCTACAGATACTGTAAAATCCAAGGATGGGACCTTACACAGCAGATGAATCATTGTCCCTTAAGGTCAGTTGGACCCTGGCTGTTACACAGACATACTCTTTCCCTATGTGCATGCTTTTGTCCTCTGATTTTACACTTTTGAGCTTTCATTTTATTTTTTTGAGACCAGGTTATGAGACTGGCTAATTTTTGTATTTTTGGTAGAGATGGAGTTTCACCATGTTGCCCAGATGTGTTGAACTTCTGGGCTCAAGCGATTCACCCACCTCAGCCTCCCAAAGTGCTGGGGATTACAGGAGTGAGTCACCACGCCTGGCTATAGTTCTGAGCTTTTAAAGTATCCCCGCCATTCAAATTCTAGCTGCTCTCAGTGGTGATGTCAAACAGCCCAGAAATTTTCTGTAAAAAGAGGAAGGTGTCCATTTAAAACTAACATCCATTAATTCTTTTAAAAAACTACTATGTTTCCCTTCAGGTTTGGAGAGTTGAGATTTGATGTCCATTAATATAAATTTTCCTCCCTCCCTCTTTCCTTCCCTTTTCTCCTCTTTCCTGCTTCTCTTTGCCCCTGTTTCCTCTATTTCCCAGATCACCAGCCCATTTTTTTTTTTATTTTAAGGTATTACTTGCTGATTTTGAGAAAGATTTCTAAGCATCTACCTCTTGCTAAATGTGGCATTCTCCACCACTCACCAGCATCTCGCTAGTCCCTGCTGTGACAGTGCCTTCCCCATTGTCTGAAAGGTGCACGGCAAGGTCAAATGAGATAATAAATGAGAAAGTGCTTTGATGAAGGGAGAAGAACAAGACAAATGTCAGGTGTTATTATTAATAATTCATGAACTGGAACACTGACTAACATTCTCTAACAGAGTAAACTGGTTCTTGGATTTTGATTTTTTTATTCCATTCAGTCTTATTAGAAGACAGCTTTTACTAAAAACTGGAACCGAAGGGGTGGCTTATTCTCAACAAGTTGTTCGCATGCAAGACACTAAACATTAAAGACTTACTATGTCCACAGAGACAATTAACCCAAGGCTAAAGCCTATTGTACGATGTCCAAAAAAAAGAAGTTAGAACAAAAGGCTTTTAAGACTCTTCTCTGCTGAAGCTTTTGGGAAGGTGCTGATTGCCATGGGGAATTAGCAGTCATTTAAGAGGAGTTGATGACATCAGGCTGAGTCACACTAGTCTGTGACACTAGTATGAGGTCATTTTAAACTAATCAAATGGGTGCTAGAGAAAGGTGCCATTTACCATTTATTACCTCAACTACCAACAAAAGGGCTGGATTTAGTTCATGGAAACCAAGAGCTTAATGAATCTGACTAAATAAGGAGGGTGGTGGTAATTGTGTCATTAAGGCCCTAATACTGAGAACCTGTCTACTTCTAAAATTGGCCCTAAGGCAACTTTTCCAAAGGTGATTCTATGGTCATTTAGAAAGCTTTCTGCTTTTTACGGTAGAGCTTTTCTTCTTGCAGTCACTGAAAAGTGGTTTCTGGGTTACTGGGAGTTTGTTCTGGGTCACTGGGAATGTTCATTATTGGTCTGCAAAAGTGTTGGTAATGCCCCTCAAACTGTCTCCCAACGGCAGATGTCTAATCAGCTAGTTCATGTGACTATATACAAAGAAGAAAACCTGAGGCTGATTCTATTGAATGGCTTCTGGAAACCAGTCTCATTTTCTTTTCTTTTCTTTTCTTTTTTTTTTTTTTTCTGAGACAGTTTTGCTCTTGTTGTCCAGGCTGGAATGCAACAGCGTGATCTCGGCTCACTGCAACCTCTGCCTCCTGGGTTCAAGTGATTCTCCTGTCTCAGCTTCCCAAGTAGCTGGGATTACAGGCGCCTGCCACTACGCCCGGCTAATATTTTGTATTTTTAGTAGAGACAGGGTTTCACCATGTTGGCCAGGCTGGTCTCGAACTCCTGACCTCAGGTGATCCGCCCACCTCGGCCTCCCAAAGTGCTGGGATTACAGGCAGTAGCTACCACGCTCGGCCCAGTCTCATTTTCTTACCATGCCATCACATCAGACGAGCACACAAGTGATTATAAGGCGAATCACTTGAGGTCAGGAATTCGAGACCAGCCTGGCCAACATGGTGAAATCCTGTCTCTACCAAAAAATACAAAAATTGGCTGGGCGCGGTGGCACACACCTGTAGTCCCAGCTACTTGGGAGGCTGAAGCAGGAGAAACGCTTGAACCAGGGAGGCGGAGGTTGCAGTGAGCCGAGATCATGCCACTGCACTCCAGCCTGGGCAACAGAGGGAGACTCTGCCTCAAAGAAAAAAAAAAGATAGTGCTGGTATAAACATGGTAACTGGAAAGGAGCCACTAAGTGATGACAAAACAAACCGTGAGGATGCACAGGCCTTGCTATCGTCACTGTGTGGTGACCCTGGCAGGTGCACTTCAACAGAGGACACGCGGCTGGGGTGCAGTGGCTCATGACTTAACCCCAGCACTTTGGGAAACCAAGTGGGGAGGATTGCTTGAGCCCAGAAGTACAAGACCAGCCTGCGTAACATAGTGAGACCCTGTCTCCACAAAAATAAAAAATTAGCCAGGCACGGTGGCGTGCACCTGTAGTCCCAGTTATCTAGGAGGCTGAGGCAAGAGGATTTCTTGAGTCCAGGAGTCAAGGCTGCAGTGAACCATCATTGCGCTATTGCATTCCAGGCTGGGTGACAGAGCCAGACCCTGTATTAAAAATAATAAAAAATAAAAAAATAAAATCAAAAGAGGACACAAACTCCTCTGGAGTTGGGAGGCAAAAGATGGGGCAGATTTCTGTTACCATTGCCAAGACTCTTTTTTCTGGGTAAGGTTTAGGGCATAGCACCAAACCAAAAACATAGACGATGGGCAGGAAATAGGCAGAAGAGAACAGAAGCAAAGGTAGCAAATTCTATTACATCCAAGACCTGCCACATAATTCACAGTTCCCTGTGCAAAATGAAGATGCATGTCCCCTGGTCAGAAAGCATTCAGAATTTCAAGATAGCAACTGAAGTCTTGAACCAAGTGTGGGACTCCTAAGCGTGGGGCCCGTTTGTATGGGTCACATACCCACAACGCCAGCGGAGGTTACGAGAGCCTGTGTCACCTATTGTGCTGTGGCACACACTGGGGAAAACAAGTATCTCATGTTCGCAAACTCAGTAGCAGAGTTCAGTAGGTTTGGCAACTTCTTAGAGTTAAAAAGAAGCTCCAAGAGAAAGAAAATCTCTTTTCTCCTATTTAAAATCCTTTAAATGTAAACTTGTGCCCTAGTGATGTGGTCCTCAGAAATGTTTCTGGGCTCACACGAAGTTTTAAACATTGAGGAAACTGAGCACCTTCATGCGGGGCATGCCTTTACCACTCCCGGGATGTCACGTCCACCTGCCAGGCTCATGAAGGCGTGTGAGTGTGTAGACCTGGTTTGAATCTGGTCACAAAAAGTCAAAAGTTCCTTGCTTGGGATCCATTTTATGATTACACTTTTTTTTTTTTTTTTGAGAGAGTTTCCCTCTTGTTGCCCAGGCTGGAGCGCAATGGCGCGATCTCGGCTCACTGCAACCTCTGCCTCCCAGGTTCAAGTGATTCTCCTTCCTCAGCCTCCCAAGTAACTGGGATTATAGGTGTCCGTCACCACACCCGGCTAATTTTTGTATTTTTAGTAGAGATGGGGTTTCGCTATGTTGGTCAGGCTGGTCTCGAACTCCTGACCTCAGGTGATCCACCCACCTCTGCCTCCAAAGTGCTGGGATTACAGGCGTGAGCCACCACGCCCCACAGTGATTAAACTTTTTAATCCATTGCTTGTGCTGGCCAGTTAATAGATATTCATATATACTGCAAAACCTCCCCTCCAACAAACCACAGCTTCACATCCAAATCCCTCAGGCAGTGTCTACCTTAGACACTAGGAGGCAGCGTTGGCTAGTTGTCTGTTTGCAAGGACACACGTCAAGGAATTTCTTTTTCTCTCTCTCCGTCCCACTTGCTGTGATCCCTTACTGTAAAAAGGTAAAGGGCCATGCTTAATTGTCTATCTCACAACCATTTAAATATATTAACTTTATGGGAGGACTGTAAAAGAAAAATGCAAAGGGACTTTTGACTGCCATGATTAATTTGGTTGCCTAAACCATTCAACCTAAACCCACTGTGTCAAATTCTAGTTTTAAGACCGGATGAAGGAGATTCTAGGGAATGACTGTATAAATACTGAATAAAAGCTCAAATTTTTTTTTCCAGTAAACTTGCAATGCAACGAAGCCCAGGGCACTAGCTTTGCCTAGAAGGGAGGGACATTTCCATTTGATTCCTATGGCCGGAGGCTTAACAGCTTTCTTTTGTTAGCAAAGCAAAGTAGAAGTGATACTGAAAGAAGCTAGTAATAGTCTAGCTTCCACTGCTATCTGCCCGAGCTTCAGCGATTCCACCCCCTCAGGGGCCACACCTCCCTGCAGGTCCCATTTCTGGGAAAAGCCGGCAATCTATGTCTTTTGGAAATACTCCCTGAGCTCCCAAAATGGGTTTGGAAAGAGCTATACATAGCTTTCTATACATTGGTCTCTATCATCTTATAGGATAATAAAGGAGATAATTCATGCACACAAATAACTATATGTAATGTTACATTTAGGGAAATACAATAATTTCACTGTCCTTGCCTTAGGATTTCCATTTAGGTAGGCAGAGATCCCTGTGGACAGGAATAATCTGGTTTCACAAAAGGGTGACACCTGGCCGGTGGCGGTGGCTCACACCTGTCATCCCAGCACTTTGGGAGACTGAGGCAGGCGGATCACCTGAGATCAGGAGTTTGAGACCAGCCTGGCCAATATGGTGAAACCCCATCTCTACTAAAAATACAAAAATTAGCCAGGCATGGTGGCAGGTGCCTGTAATCCCAGCTACTCAGGAGGCTGAGGCAGGAGAATTGCTTGAACCCGGGAGGCAGAGGTTGCAGTGAACCGAGATCATGCCACTGCACTCCAGTCTGGGAGACAAGAACGAAACTCTGCTTAAAAAACAAAAACAAAAACAAAAAACAAAAAAATACCAAGTGTGGTGGCTCACATCTGTAATCCTAGCACTTTTGGAAGCCGAGGTCAGGAGTTTGAGACCAGCCTGGCCAACATGGTGAAACCTTGTCTCTACTAAAAATACAAAATTAGCCGGGTGTGGTGGCTCACGCCTGTAGTCCCAGCTACTCGGGAGGCTGAGACTGGAGAATCGCTTGAAACCCCGAGGCAGAGGCTACAGCGAGCCAAGATTACGCCACTGCACTCCAGCCTGGGCAAGACAGAGCAAGACTCCGTCTCAAAAAAAAAAAAAAGAGTGAGGGGACAGGTGACACCTGAGAGGCTTTTCACTAAGTTCAATTGGCAGCAGGTAAATCTCTAGGAGCTGTGTCTCCAAAGATGAATTGGAGCACATTATAAAATATCTTGAATGCCAGGTTAGAAAATGTGAAGTTTCACATATGCAAATCAAAAGCTAGTTATGGTTTTTAGAAGAGAATCATCTGAGAAGTATCTTGAAAGAAGACCTGGCTGACTGTGTAAGGTAGAATAGATTGAAGGATGTACAAACAAGAAGGAACTTTACAAAAAAGTATACCAGAATTACCTCTGGAATGGGAGAGGCAAGGCTCAGGCTATTTGCATATGAATTTCAACTCTCTCTCAGGGTTGAGTGTCCATGGGCAAGCTGGTTAACCCCTCTGAGCCTGTTTCTCATCTGTAAAACAAGGTTAATAAAGGCATGAACCTCATAGAGTTGATGTGTAGATTACATAGATCATCTCTGTAAAGCACTTAGTACAGTGACTGGCATATAGTAAATGCTCACTAAATAGTTAATGATGATGATGACATTATGAGGAAACTGCAGTTCAAATACATTAAAAACTAAAAGAGGCAAATCTGGGACACAATCCCAAGTCTTCTGATTCAAATACAGTGTTTTTTACCCTTTGCTAGAAATGCAAAATGCTTATTCCTCAGTGCCACAAAGATATAGCACTCGAACATAAATTTAATTTTCTCAGCAAGGCAATTTTTACTTTCTGCAGAAAGGGTGCTTCTTGTAGATGGAACAATGGCAAGAGCACACCTGAACAGGGGAGGGGCAGGAGTTCTTATTCCTGACACAAGTAGCCCCTACTGCTGTGTCATTCCCATATTGGCTAGGGTTGGACCACACAGTCTAAGCTAATTCTGATTGGCTATTTTAAAGAGAACAGGAATACGAGCTGGAGTGGCAGGGTGAGTACTTTGGCAGGAAGGATGGTTAGGAACAGGTAACTAAAGGTGACTTAGGTTAAAGCAGGTGATCAGGGGACCGCTGTGAACTACTGGTTAGGACTGGTGGGAAAGTTGTTTACTGAAACTAGAAGGAAGGGGGCTAAGAGAACCAGGAAGTTAAACTTTAAAATGGAGAATCAAAGAATAAGAGAGCTGAACATACTGACATACTGGTTCTTTGAAGAGAAACTGGGGTTCACCATATGTAACACCCTTGCTCATGCATTTTAAGAAGTTAGGAAATTCCACCTGTCCTGAAATATCTCCTGCAATTTTGTGTCTTGATCTTTATGTCAAAGCACAAATTCTTTGATAAATACAAATCTTGAAGTAGCTACACTTGCATAACTCTGAGGAAGAAAGCCTAATTTATTGATTATTATTATTATTTTGAGATGGAGACTTGCTCTGTTGCTCAGGCTGGAGTGCAGTGGCACGATCTCGGCTCGCTACAACCTCCATCTCCCAGGTTCAAGCGATTCTCCTGACTCAGTCTCCTGAGTATCTGGGATGACAGGCACCCGCCACCATGCCTGGCTAATTTTTGTATATTTAGTAGAGACGGGATTTCACCATGTTGGCCAGGCTGGTCTTGAACTCCCGATCTCAAGTGATCCACCCACCTCGGTCTCCCAAAGTGCTGGGATTACAGGCATGAGCCACTGCACCCAGCAAATTTATTGATTATTATAGTTAGCCAGTTTCAGGTTAATGGAGAGTTTATATAGCTGGGGATTTATATTTTCTTTTCATTTAGTCCATGTATTTTCTTTTCAATTAGTAAATTTGATACTATCTATAAACATGCCATACCATAAAATGTATTGAAACTTTTTTCAATTTAGGTGTACTCTATATATTTTTTAAGTTGGCCAGGTGCAGTGGCTTGTGCTTGTAATCCTAGCACTTTGGGAGGCTGAGGCGAGTGGATCACCTGAGGTCAAGAGTTCGAGATCAGCCTGGCCAACATGGTGAAACCCCATCTCTACCAAAAATACAAAAAATTAGCCAGGTGTGGTGGTGGCGCCTGTAATCCCAGCTATTTGGGAGGCTGAGGTAGGAGAATCGCTTGAACCCGGGGGGCAGATGTTTCAGTGAGCCAAGATCACGCCACTTCACTCCAACCTGGGCAAAAGAGCAAAATTTGAAACTGTCAAAAAAAAAAAGTTATCTTGATTTTTAAAGTCTACTTTTCCAGCTGGAAAAAAAAAATCACATGAGTATCTGATTATCTTATTTACACAGGCAAAATACAGATAATTCAGATATGGAAAGTCTTCACTCTATAACCTAGTGTTATGGCATAATATATGCTATATAATAGCATAATGATGCTATAATAGCAAAAACAAACAAACAAACCTTTCACCAAAAGTAATTAACTTGTTTTATCTAACTCAAAGCAAACTTCCTATTCTGAATGTTTTTCTTTGGCAAGAAATACATATAATTATTTCAATTCCACAATGCCACAGGAGGAATTGTTAAAAAAAAAACTGGAAATATTTTGGCTGGCAATGAATCATGTGGTACAGGGATGGGAGAGAGAGGTAGACGTTAGAGGAGAAAAGCAATCGCTGTCTGGAAAATTTTGCAGAGCCGTCGCTGCATAGAAGAGCTCCACTCATTCTATGATGTTCTGGAAGCCAAAACAAAGACTAACCACTTGAAATCCACCAAGATTTTAGTTCAATTTAATTTAATTTAATTAATTTATTTATTTTTGAGACGGAGTCTCGCTCTGTTGCCCAGGCTGGAGTGCAGTGGCATGATCTCGGCTCCCAGGTTCACGCCATTCTCCTGCCTCAGCCTCCCAAGTAGCGGGGACTACAGGCACCCGCCACCACGCCCAGCTAATTTTTTTGTATTTTTAGTAGAGATGGGGTTTCACTGTGTTTGCCAGGATGGTCTCGATCTCCTGACCCCGTGATCCGCCCGCCTCGGCCTCCCAAAGTGCTGGAATTACAGACGTGAGCCACTGTGCCTGGCCAGTTCAATTTTAGGTACAACTTTCTGTCAATTTGAGTGCTCAAAATGAAATTTAATACTAGCCTGGGCAACATGATGAAACCCTCTCTCTATAAAAAAATGCAAAAATTAGCTGGGCATGGTGGCACACACCTGCAGTCCCAGCTACTCAGGAAGCTGAGATGGGAGGATCACCTGAGGCTGGGGAGCTTGAGGCTGCAGTGAGCTGAGACCACTGCACTCCAGCCTGGGTGACAGAGTGAGACCTTATCTCAAAAGAAAAAAAAATGGAATTTGATCCACAATTATGTTGTCATTTTTATTGTTGCTGTTGTTTGGGACAGGATCTCGAACTGTCACCCAGGCTGGAGGGCAGTGGTGTGATCATAGCTCACGGCAGCCTTGAACTCCTGGGCTGAAGCCATCCTCAGTCTCCTGGGTAGCTGGGACTACAGATGCGTGACACCATGCCTGGCTAATTTATTTTATTTTTTGTAGAGATGAGGTCTTGCAATGTTGCCCAGGCTGGTATGATCTCCTGGCCTCAAGTGTCCTCCCTCCTTGGCCTCCTGATGTACTGTGTTAGCCACCATGCCCAGCCTATTGTCATTTTGTATAAAAATATATGTGTGGTGCTGGTTGAAGGAAGTGTGTTTTATCATATTCCACGTGTACAAAACCCTCCTATTAAAAACACATGGAGGCTGGGCGCAGGGGCTCACGCCTGTAATCCCAGCACTTTGGGAGGCCGAGGCAGGCGGATCTCGAGGTCGGGAGATTGAGACCATCCTGGCTAACATGGTGAAACTCTGTCTCTACTAAAAAAATACAAAAAATTAGCTGGGCATGGTGGCGGGCGCCTGTAGTCCCAGCTACTCGGGAGGCTGAGGTAGGAGAATGGCGTGAACCCAGGAGGTGGAGCTTGCAGTGAGCCGAGATGGCGCCACTGCACTCCAGCCTGGGCGACAGAGCGAGACTCCATCTCAAACACACACACACACACACACACACACACACACACACACACAGAACCTGACAATGGTTGCCACAGGGAGACTGAAGAAGGGTGGGGAATGGCCCGCCCAGCACACTCTTTTGTTCTGCATGTATTTTATTTTATTTTATTTTATTTTATTTTACGTATATATATTTTTTCTTTTTTCTTTTTCTTTTTTTTGAGACAGAGTCCCACTCTGTTGCCCAGTCTGGAGTGCAGTGATGTGATCTTGGCTTACTGCAACCTCCACCTCCCAGGTTCAAGCGATTCTTCTGCCTCAGCTTCCTGAGTAGCTGGGACTACAGGCACGCACCACTAGGCCTGGCTAATTTTTGTATTTTTAGTAGAGACGGGGTTTCATCATATTGGCCAGGCTGGTCTCGAACTCCTAACCTCGTGATCTGCCCGCCTCTGCCTCCCAGAGTGATGGGATTACAGGCATGAGCCACCGCGCCTGGCCACACCCGGCTAATTTTTTTGTATTGTAGTAGAGACTGGGTTTCCCCATGTTGGCCAGGCTGGTCTGGAACTCTTGACCTCAGATGATCCACCCGCCTCGGCCTCTCAAAGTGCTGGGATTACAGGCGTGAGCCACCACGCCCGGCCTTATTTATTTATTTATTTTGAGACAGGGTCTTGCTCTGTCTACCAGACTGAAGTGTGGTGGCGCGATCTCGACTCACTGCAACCTCTGCCTCCCGGGTTCAAGTGATCCTCCTGCCTCAGCTTCCTGAGTAGTTGAGATTACAGGCACGTGCCACCAGGCCCAGCTAATTTTTTTGTATTTTTAGTAGAGAAGGGGTTTCACCATGTTGGCCAGGCTGGTCTCGAACTCCTGACCTCAATTGATCCGCCTGCCTCAGCCCCCCAAAGTGCTGGAATTACAGGCGTGAGCCACCATGCCAGGCTCTGCGTGTATTTTAATATACAATAAAACAAAAATAAAGGAATGTCCTAACAGTTTTTCTGACTTTGACAGCACTTAAACAGGGTCTTGTCAACCAGGAGGCCCAAATTTTTCTTTTTTTTTTTTTTTTGAGAGGGAGTCTTGCCCTGTCGCCCAGGCTGGAGTGCAGTGGCATGATCTCGGCTCACTGCAAGCTCTGCCTCCCAGGTTCACGCCATTCTGTTGCCTCAGCCTCCCGAGTAGCTGGGACTACAGGCGCCCACCACCATGCCCGGCTAATTTTTTTTTGTATTTTTAGTAGAGACGGGGTTTCACCGTGTTAGCCAGGATGGTCTCGATCTCCTGACCTCGTGATCCGCCCACCTCGGACTCCCAAAGTGCTGGGATTACAGGCGTGAGCCACCGCGCCCGGCCCAGGAGACGCAAATTTTTAAAAGGAATTCCTACTTTGAGTAAGGATGGGGTCCTGATGGTATCACTAAGTTCCCTATTAATTTAGAGATGCTATTCGTAGGTTATTAGGTAGAGGCAGAAGAGGCGAGAGAGGCAAGGGAAGTGAGGTTGTCTTGTTCTGCCCCGTTTCCTTCCAGAGGAGGGGAGAAAAGGGCCTTCTCCTCTCAGGAGCACAGCAATGCTGGATGAGCAGTGCTTGTTGGACCGAGGCAGGAGAGAAGGCGCGACCCTGTGTTGGTTTTTTCCTTATGCTTTTCTGCTTGTGCATTTAATCCCTTTTTCAGTTTCAAATCAGCACCATAGCAGATCTTACCAACAAACATTATCCCTGTCCTGAAGCAGTTGTCAAGCCAGGGAGAGACATAGGATCCACTCTGGGGAAATGCCACCCTGGCTTTGGCTTCTGGAGGCTGCAATTACCTGTTAGGAGAGGTATCAAATTCCACTTCCCGAGGCTGCAGTGAGCCGAGATTGCACCACTGCACTCCAGCCTGGGCGACAGAGCAAGACTCTGTCTCAAAAAAAAAGAAAAAAAAAAAAACTCCACTTCCCTCTTTGCCCACAGAAGCCAGTGTGAAATCCCCTTCCCTTGCATTCCTTTGGGCTGGTCCCATTGAGAAAGAGGCTGGCACTGGACAAGGAGATGAAAGCAGACTGCCCCAGCTACAGTGTCTCACCAAGCTCCTTCCAGCTGCTGTGGCCCTGTCCAGGTCTGCTGACCTCTGGTGATGGCCAATGCCATCTTGCCTCCTTAGCTCATGCCCACTTTGGCTGAGTTACTGTGGCCCAGGCTTAGAATGCTGTGTTTTGTTTTGATGCCTAACTCTTCACAGTCCTTTTTATAAGGTCACCTGTCTTGCTTGAATCTTCAACTTGGTGCTGCTGACACCCCTGATGTGACATATGCTGTGCACAACTCCAGGTCACAGAGGGAGTAAAAAACAAGTTCTTTCCTACCTGATGAAATACCTGATTACTTTATGCTTTGCATAAAGAGACATTTGCCTCAGGGAACAAATAAGACATAAATACTGAAAATGGGATTGCCCTTTAAAAAGGAGGATGTCTGCTCAGTCTAATTTGGGGAATATCTCTTTTATCTCCATTGTTCAGGCTGAATACACAGTTTGTGAATTAACCTGATCTTTTCCTTTATCTTGCTTGGCCATCTGCCTTGCTTCTCAGTTATTTAGAAAGTACTTTAATAGCATCTTCACCAATGACTAAAGAAACAGAAAGTGACATTAAAAAAAAAAAGGCAACCCTGTATTTTGTTTATTTACTATTAGCTTGTTTGGTAAGAATAAAATTTTCATAAGGATTGAGCTTGATATCTCTGAAAATGGCAGACTAGATAATGAGGAACCACCCTTCCACTGAAAACAACTGCAAGGCAGCAGAAAATCTAAGAATAATTTGCTTTAAGGCATTGGGGGAGCTCACAACACAATAAAGAATTAAAGAGTTACAGGACTGAGATCCACAGAAGTAAATCCAAGAAGATGAGCCCAGCTTTAGGGCTACTGTTCTCCCAGGGCGTTTAATGAGGTCTCGAAAGATTGAGAAGCTGAGCAGATGTTTCAACAGCCTGGTGAGGAGGACCTACAAATGAGAGGAAATCTTGGGGGAAAAAAATCATGCTTTGGGTTGGGAAACTCAAGGGCTAGACCCTAGGAATAAGGGTGAACTAAAGCCCAGCTTCCAACCATCTCAAGGCCTATATTAGATTAACACTGGAATTACCAGTGTCCCCAGGCTCCTGACAAAAGCATATGTAGATCTTCCCTAGCAAAAGGTAACATCAGAGTAGACTCAAATTATTTCTTCAATAATTAAGGCAATTATTACTTCTACTTATTTGACTCCTCATGAGCCTATTTATTTTTTATTTTTACATTTTTACAGAATGTCTTGCACACAATGAAAAGTAAATAGGAAGGCCAGGCGCCTGTAATCGCAGCACTTTGGGAAGCTGAGACCGGTGGATCACTTGAGGTCAGGACACCTGTAGTCCCAGCTACTCGGGGGACTGAGGCACGAGAGTCACTTGAACCTGGGAGGCGGAGGTTGCAGTGAGCCAAGATCGCTCCATTGCACTCCAGCTTAGGCGACAAAGTGAGACTCTGTCTCAAAAATAAATAAATAAATAGGTTCATGAGGAGTAAAGTAAGTAGAAATAATAATTGTCTTAAGTATTGAAGAAATAACTTGAGTCTACTATTGTGTCCGGAATTGGTGGGTTCTTGGTCTCACTGACTTCAAGAATGAAGCCGTGAACCCTCACGGTGAGTGTTAACAGCTTTTAAGGCAGCTTGTCTGGAGTTGTTCGTTCCTCCTGGTGGGTTCGTGGTCTCGCTGTCTTCAGGAGTGAAGCTGCAGACCTTCGCGGTGAGTGTTACAGCTCATAAAGGCAGTGTGGACCCAAAGAGTGAGCAGCAGCAGGATTTATTGCAAAGAGCGAAAGAACAAAGCTTCCACAGTGTGGAAGGGGACCCGAGCGGGTTGCTACTGCTGGCTCGGGCAGCCTGCTTTTATTCTCTTATCTGGCCCCACCCACATCCTGCTGATTGGTAGAGCCAAGTGGTCTGTTTTGACAGGGCGCTGATTGGTGCCTTTACAATCCCTGAGCTAGACACAAATGTTCTCCACGTCCCCACCAGATTAGCTAGATACAGAGTGTCGACTGGTGCATTCACAAACCCTGAGCTAGACAGAGGGTGCTGATTGGTGTGTTTACAAACCTTGAGCTAGATACAGAGTGCCGATTGACGTATTTACAATCCCTGAGCTAGACATAAAGGTTCTCCACGTCCCCACCAGACTCAGGATCCCAGCTGGCTTCACCCAGTGGATCCTGCACTGGGGCTGGCAGGCAGCTCCACTATGATGTTATCTTTTTTTTTTTTTTTTTTTTTTTTGAGGTGGAGTCTCACACTATTGCCTGGGCTGGAGTGCAATTGCGCCATCTTGGCTAACTGCAACCTCTGCCTCCTGGGTTCAAGTGTTTCTCCTGCCTCAGCCTCCCAGGTAGCTGGGATTACAGGTACACACCACCACACCAGGCTAATTTTTTGTCTCTCTACTAGAGACAAAATTTTTGTCGTCTCTCTACTAGAGATGGAGTTTCACTATGTTGGCCAGCATGGTCTCAAACTCCTGACCTCGTGATCCACCCACCTTGGCCTCCCAAAGTGCTGGGATTACAGGCGTGAGCCACAGCACCCGGCCATGATGTTATCTTTTGCTAGAGAAGATCTACATATGGTTTTCGCAGGAGCCTGGGGACACTGGCAAGTCCAGTGTTAATTTAACATAGGCCTTGAGATGGTTGGAAGATGGGCTCTAGTTCATTCTTATTCCATTCAATATTCAACACATTCATTCTTTATTGTTTTTGAGACCGAGTTTCAGTCTTGTTGCCTAAGGCTAGTGTCCAATGGCACGATCTCAGCTCACTGCAACTTCCGCCTCCCTGGTTCAAGCGATTCTCCTGCCTCAGCGTCCCCAGTAGCTGGAACTACAGGAACACACCACCATACCCGGCTAATTTTTGTATTTTTAGTAGAGACTGGGTTTTTTGTTTTTTTGTTTTTTGTTTTTTTTTGAGACAGAATTTCACTTTGTTGCCCAGGCTGGAGTTGCAGTGAGCCGAGATCGTGCCATTGCACTCCAGCCTGGGCGACAAGAGCAAAACTTCGTATCAAAAAAAAAAAAAAAATTTCTTCATATTTGAGTTCATGTCCCATATACTTTGTAAAACCAGGTTATTTGCTGTTTTTGCTTTGCTATTGAATTGTAGGAGTTCTTTATATATTTAGAAATCAACCCTAATCCAGTGTTCACTGTAGCATTATTCAGAATAGCAATGCTATGGAAGCAACCTAAATGTCCATGGATGGATGAGTGGATAAAGCAAGGGTGGTATATACATACAATGCAATATCGTGGAGCCTTAAAACAAAAGGAAATCCTGCAATATGCAAGGACATGGACAAAACTGGAGAACATTATGCTAAGTGAATTAAGCTAGTCACAGAAGGACAAATACTGCATGACTACATGCATATGAGACATCTAAAATAGTCAAACTCAAAGAATCAGAGAGTAGAATGATGGCTGCCAAGAGCTGGCGGAGGGGGAATGGGGAGCAGCTAATTAACAGGCATAAAGTTTTGATGATGGGGGCTGAGTGAGTTCTGGAGATCTGCTGTGCAACATTGTCCCTATAGTTAACAGTACCCTATCCAGTACCCTATCCACTTAGAATGTATTAGGAGCGTAGCTCTCATGTTAAGTGATCTTATATTAAAATAAAGTTTTTAAAATTTTACTTTTTCTTCAATTCATTTTGAAGTTTCTGCTTTTTTTTTTTTTTTTTTTTTTGGAAATGGGGTCTTGCTCCTGTGGCCCAGGCTGGAGTGCAGTGGCATGATCTGTGTTCACTGCAACCTCTGCCTCCTGGGTTCAAGTAATTCTCCTTCCTCAGCCTCCCCAGTAGCTGGGATTACAGGCACATGCCACCACCCCTGGCTAATTTTTGTACTTTCAGTAGAGATGGGGTTCCACCATGTTGGCCAGGCTGGTCTCAAACTCCTGTCCTCAAGTGATCCGCCCCCCTCAGCCTCCCAAAGTGCTGAGATTACAGGCATGAACCACTGTACCTGGTCTGAAGTTTCTGCTTTCAACACAATTTTGTGAAATTAGAAGGGAAGATTCTGCTCTCAAAGAGGTTATAGTCTTTTTTTTTTGCCCACTGCAACCTCTGCCTCCCGGGTTCAAATGATTCTCCTGCCTCAGCCTCCTGAGTAGCTGAGATTACAGGCGCCCACCACCACGCCCGGCTAATTTTTTGTATCTTTAGTAGAGACGGGTTTCACCGTGTTGGCCAGGCTGGCCTCGAACCTCTGACCTCGTGATCCGCCTGCCACGGCCTCCCAAAGTGCTGGGATTAGAGGCATGATCCACCACGCCTGACCTGAGGTTATAGTCTTATCAGAGAGACATTTAGGGATTTTTTTTTTTTTTTCAGATAGAGTCTCACTCTGTCTCCCAGGCTGGAGTGCCAAGGTGCGATCTCGGCTCACTGCAACCTCTGCCTTCTGGGTCCAAGCAATTCTCCTGCTTCAGTCTCTCGAGTAGCTGGGAATACAGGCACCTGCCACTACACCCAGCTAATTTTTGTATTTTTAGTAGAGACGGGGTTTTACCATGTTAGTCAGGCTGGTCTCAAACTCCTGACCTCAGGTGATCAGCCTGCCTCGGCCTCCCAAAGTGCTGGGATTACAGGCGTGAGCCACCGCACCCGACCCATTTAAGGAATTTTTAAAAATACAGCAAGGTAGACTGACTGTTGAAGTTGCAGTGAAACTGACAACTGCTATTCCTCCGGTTGCATTTGCCATTTCATCGTTCTAATCTATACTGTCACTCCATTTCCCAATTTCCAATTGACACCCTTTGGATGTACATTTTGGGTTGATGCCTGAGGACATTTAAAAATAGTTTAGTGCTGAGCATAAGCTAAATATATTCCCATAATTCCTATGCTAATCAATTATTTATCCCTTACAAATGCGAAGATCAAAAATGAAAAAAAGTTATATATTTCAGTTTGACAGGAGGTCTTGGGAGACTAGCAAGAATAAAAAATACTTTCAAGTCTAAAGTGAGTAAAATGGGTAAAAATGAGCTTCCCAACTCAGTTATACTTTAAACAAGGCAAAGAATACTCTTTTGCCACCAGTAATTAAAATTAAATGTATAAATTATGAGAAATTTATAATTTATATGAAATGTTTTAGTCCTTTAACGAGAGAATCATTGGGATTCTGTACTATAACTGGTAAATATATTGTGATATCTGCCACACTGTACCCTTCATTTTTGCTTTAATACAAAAGGTGATAAAATGCACTAAATTACCACTTTAAATAGAATCTTTTTATCCTTAAATGTTTCATTTGTGCATATATATATATGTGTATATATATATATATATATATATATATATATTTTTTTTTTTTTTTTTTTTTTTTTGAGACAGGGTCTCGCTCTGTCACCCAGGCAGAAGTGCAGTGGTGCGATCTTGGCTCACCGCACCCTCTGCCTCCTGGGTTCAAGCGATTCTCATACCTCAGGCTCTCAAGTAGCTGGGACTACAAGCGCACGCCACCACGCCCGGCTAATTTTTTTTTGTATTTTTGGTAGAGACGGGGTTTCACCATGTTGGCCAGGCTGGTCTCCAACTCCTGAGTTCAAGTGATCCGCCCGCCTTGACTTCCCAAAGTGCTGGGATTGCAGGCATAAACCACCATGCCCGGCATAATTCTATAATTTTACTTTTACAAAAAAAAGTGGAGACAATCGTGCAGAGTTGCCATATACCCAGCATCCAGTTTCACCCATGAATGGCATCTTACATTGGTATGGTATATTTGTTACATTTAAAAATATTAAGCTGGGCACAGAGGTTCACACCTGTAATCTCAGCACTTTGGGAGGCCGAGGCTGGCGGATCGTCTGAGGTCGGGAGTTCGAGAGCAGTCCGACCAACACGGAGAAACCCTGTCTCTACTAAAAATACAAAATTAGCCGGGTGTGGTGGCGCATGCCTGTAATCCCAGCTACTCAGGAGGCTGAGGCAGGAGAATCGCTTGAACCCGGGAGGCGGAGTTTGCAGTGAGCCGAGATCCCGCCATTGCACTCCAGCCTGAGCAACAAGAGCAAAACTCCGTCTCACAAAAAAAAAAAAAAAAAAAGAAAAGAAAGAAAGAAATACTCCAGGCTGGGCGTGGTGGCTCATGCCTATAATTCTAGTGTTTTGGAAGACCAAAGCAGATGGATTGCTTGAGTCCAGGAGTTAGAGAACAGCCTGGGCAACATGGTGAAGCCCCATCTCTACTAAAAAAATACAAAAATTAGCAGTCATGGTGGTGCACTCCTGTAGTCCCAACTACTCAAGGGGGTGAGGCAGGAGGATTCACTGAGCCCGGGAGTTCGAGGCTGCAGTGAGCAGAGATTGCACCACTGCATTTCAGCCTGGGTGATGGAGCAAGATCCTGTCTCCAAAAAAAAAAAAAAGCTTCAGACTCATTTTGTATATTTCTGCCCCAGTTCTAGAATAAACCATTTCTCTGAGGAGCCCTGATTCCTTTTGTAGGAAAATGGTATTAGAAATCATGGTCTTAGCCCGGGCGCTGGGGCTCAGGCCTGGAATCTCAGCACTTTGGGAGGCCAAGGTGGGTGGATCACCTGAGGTCAGGAGTTCGAGACCAGCCTGACCAATATGATGAAACCCCATCTCTACTAGAAATACAAAAATTAGCCAGGCGTGGTGGCATGTGCCTGTAATCCCAGCTACTTGGGAGGCTGAGACAGAAGAATCGCTTGAACCCAGGAGGCAGAGGTTGTGGTGAGCCGAGATCGTGCCACTGTACTCCAGCCTGGGAAACAAGAGTGCAACTCTGTCTCAAAAAAAAAAAAAAGAAAAGAAAAAAGAAAAGAAAGCATGGTCTGGATGCTGTTGTATTCTAATAATTCTAATAGTATCAGAAATCATGGTCTGGATGCTGTTGTACTCTAATAATTCTAATAGTATCAGAAATCATGGTCTGGATGCTGTTGTATTCTAACAGTATCAGAAACCATGGTCTGGATGCTGTTGTATTCTAATAGTATCAGAAACCATGGTCTGGATGCTGTTGTATTCTAATAGTATCAGAAACCATGGTCTGGATGTGCTCACTACTACCGTGATATCATTTCTCCTAAGACCTCTCAGATGACAGAGCACATAAATATGCGTGAGTATAGTAACCCTCCCCATATCTATAAATATTTATATATGTTACTACGTGTATCTATATTAAGCAAAATATGAGTTCTTACTAATCCATCTAACTCTATTCCATTACCATATTGATTGTTCTAGCCTACTTCCCTTGCTTACCTGTAAATTCCTACCCCAACAGTGAGACACCTTGCTCCCATCATTCTCTATCTATCTATCTATCTATCTATCTATCTATCTATCTATCTATCATCTATCTATCTATTTATTTTTATCTTTTGAGATGGAGTCTCTCTCTGTTGCCCAGGCTGGAGTGCAGAGGCATGAACTGGGCTCACTGCAACCTCCACCTCCCAGGTTCAAGCAATTCTCCTGACTCAGCCTCCCGAGTAGCTGGGATTACAGGTGTGTGCCACCACCCCTGGCTAATTTTTATATTTTTAGTAGAGATGGGTTTTTACCATGTTGGCCAGGCTAGTCTTGAACTCCTGACCTCAAGTGATCTGCCCATCTCGGCCTCCCAAAGTGCTGAGATTACAGGCATGAGCCACCAGGCCTGGCCTTTACAGAACAATATTCCGTCCATACCTTTTTCATACCTATATATAGATTTACATCTGCTATGAGAGCTATGTACTATTTTGTTCCATGGAATCACCATAATTTATTAAGGTAAGCATTTATTTACAGACATTTGCATTATTTTACTTTTTCTAGTGCAAGGATACAGTACACATCTTTGCAAATATTTGTTTATGTATGTGTGCTATTATTTCTTCATTTTATTTGATTTTTTCTTGTATAGATGGAGTCTCACTATGTTGCCCAGGCTGGTCTTGAACTCCTGGGCTCAAGCAATCTTCCCACTCAAGCCTCCAAAGCGCTGGGATTACAGGCATGAGCCACTGCACCTGGCCAGTGTGCTAGTATTTCTGATAGATGGATACTTAGAGGGTCATTGAGGAGTCTAAGGATATTGGCTGTAGTCTTTTAAGCCTTCTAGAAATAAAGATTTTGAAATAGTGAATCTGTTTTGTTAGTCTTATTTGTCCATCTTATTCACAAATTATTAAATGTTTGGTTTAATAAAAATATATCACGTCTATGACAATTGCATGATATAAGGACTTACTCATTTTTAGAAACTTATCTTTCTTTGACCCTATTCTCTTTTAAATTATCTATCCACACAGTTTCAGCTCTATTTTTTTCCTTCTCTGAAATTCTACTATTCTTAGGTCTAGGACATACCCGACTGGACCCCATGCTTCCTCTAAGATTACAAGCTTACTTTCCACTGCCCTTTCCACTCAGAATTAAGTTGTTGCAGAATTTAAGTTTTTTTTTTAAGATGGAATCTTGCTCTGTCGCCCAGGCTGGAGTTCATTGGCATGACCTCGGTTCACTGCAAACTCCACCTCCTGAGTTCAAGTGATTCTCCTGCCTCAGCCTCCCCAGTAGCTGGGATTACAGTCACATGCCACCACCCCTGGCTAATTTTTTGTATTTTTAGTAGAGACGGGGTTTCACCATGTTGGCCAGGCTGGTCTCGAACTCCTGGCCTCAAGTGATCCCCCTGCCTCAGCCTCCCAAAGTGCTGGGATTACAGGCATGAGTCACCCAGCCCAGCCGAGAATTAAGTTTTATATAACAATTCCTCTCATTTAACATCCTTTTGAACAGTTTTTAAATTTTGTTACATCCAAGTAAAGTTTGTATCGGATGCTCTGCTTCCAACAGAATGAGATATCCACCAATGAGCAGACGGCTTAACCCCTTGTGTGCTCCCATGCTGGCTTTGCCTCTCATTTTCCCCATGGGCCTGGCAGTCTCTGGCAGGGTCTCCCTATAATCACCTCCCTTCCCCATTTCTGCTTTCCTAGGCTTCCCACCGTCTTCTCCACCAGGATGTGTGTTCCCATAATAGGTGCACAGGTTTTTTTGTTGTTGTTTATTTTTTATTTTTTAAATTGTTTTTATTTTATTTTCATAAGTTTTGGGGGAACAGGTGGTATTTGGTTACATGAGTAAATTCTTTAGTGGTGATTTGTGAGATTTTGGTGTACACATCACCTGAGCAAGTACACACTGAACCACCCAATTTATAGCCTTTTTTTTTTTTTTTTTTTTTTTTTTTTTTTTTGAGACGGAGTCTCGCTCTGTCGCCCAGGCCGGACTGCGGACTGCAGTGGCGCAATCTCGGCTCACTGCAACCTCCACCTCCTGGGTTCAAGCAATTCTCCCACTTCAGCTTTTCGAGTAGCTGGGATTACAGGCATAGGCCACCACACCCGGCTAATTTTTCTATTTTTAGAAGAACCGGGGTTTCACAATGTTGGCCAGGCTGGTCTTGAACTCCTGACCTCAAGTGATCTGCCCACCTCAGCCTCACAAAGTGCTGGGATTACAGATATGAGCCACTGTCCCCAGCCTTAACCAGTGGTTGTAAAAGTATGATCTAAAGACCCCTGGAACCTGGGAGGTGGAGTTTGCAGTGAACCCAGATCTTGCCACTGCACTCCAGCCTGGACAACAGAGCCAGACTTCGTTTCAAAAAATAGTTTAAAAAAAAAATGACCCCTGGAGACTTTTCAGGATGACTTTCACGGGGTTCACAAGATCAAAACTATGTTCGTAAAAATACTGAGAGGTCATTTTCTTTTTCTGTTGCGTCGGCATTCACATTATGTTGGTACCATGACAGATTGAGTTCAGAAGCTGACATGAGCTTGCAGCTAACCATTCACATAAGCCAGCCATTAAAGAGATTTGCAAAAATGAAAAGCAATGCTACTCTTCCCAATATTTTATTACAGAAAATAAAGTTTTTAATAAAGTAAGTTTTTTATGTGCACATGTAATTGGTTGAATAAATAAAGAAAATTGTCATTTCTCCATTTTATTTGTAGTATGGTAAATATCAGTTGATATAACCTTCATGAACAAAAACTTTGTTGGGGTCCTTAATATATATATTTTTTGAGATGGAATCTTGCTCCGTTGCCTAGGCTGGAGTGCAATGAACTCACTGCAACTTCAGCCTCCTGGGTTCAAGGGATTCTCCTACCTCAGCCTCCTGAGTAGCTGGGATTATAGGCATGCTCCACTGAGCCTGGCTAATTTTGTATTTTTTAGTAGAGACAGGGTTTCACCATGTTGGTCAGGCTGGTCTCGAACTCTGACCTCAGGTGATCCACCTGCCTCGGCCTCCCAAAGTGTTGGGATTACAGGCGTGAGCCACTGCGCCCGGCAATAATTTTTTTATTTCTTTTTTTTTTTTAAGACGTAGTTTTGCTCTTGTTGCCCAGGCTGGAGTGCAATGGTGCGATCTCAGCTCACGGCAACCTCCGCCTCCCGGTGAGAGACAGGACTAGCTGGATTTCCTAGACCAACTAAGAATCCCTAAGCCTAGCTGGGAAGGTGACTGCATCCACCTTTAAACACGGGGCTTGCAACTTAGCTCACACCCGACCAATCAGGTAGTAAAGAGAGCTCACTAAAATGCTAATTAGGCAAAAGCAGGAGGTAAAGAAATAGCCAAACATCTATTGCCTGAGAGCACAGCGGGAGGGACAATGATCGGGAAATAAACCCAGGCATTCGAGCCGGCAATGGCTACCCTCTTTGGGTCCCCTCCCTTTGTATGGGAGCTCTGTTTTCACTCTATTAAATCTTGCAACTGCCCACTTTTCTGGTCCGTGTTTGTTATGGCTCAAGCTGAGCTTTTGCTTGCCGTCCACCACTGCTGTTTGCCGCCGTCGCAGACCCGCCACTGACTTCCATCCCTCCGGATCCGGCAGGGTGTCCGCTGCCCTTCTGATCCAGTGAGGCGCCCATTGCTGCTCCTGATTGGGCTAGAGGCTCGCAATTATTCCTGCGTGGCTAAGTGCCCGGCTTTGTCCTAATCGGGCTGAACACTAGTCGTTGGGTTCCATGGTTCTCTTCCGTGACCCGCGGCTTCTAATAGAGCTATAACACTCACCACATGGGCCAAGATTCCATTCCTTGGAATCAGTGAGGCCAAGAACACCAGGTCAGAGAACATGAGGCTTGCCACCATCTTGGAAGCGGCCCGCCACCATCTTGGAAGCAGCCCGCCACCATCATGGGAGCTCTGGGAGCAAGGACCCCCGGTAACACTGGGTTCAAGCGATTTTCCTGCCTTAGCCTCCCAAGTATCTGGGATTACAGGCATGCGCCACAACGCCCGGCTAATTTTGTATTTTTAGTAGAGATGGGGTTTCTCCATGTTGGTCAGACTGGTCTCGAACTCCCGATCTCAGGTGATCTGCCCACCTTGGCCTCCCAAAGTGCTGGATTACAGGTGCAAGCCACCACGCCCAGCCAACAATAATTTTTAAGAGTACAGAGTTACTGGCCCAAAAAGTTTGAGAACTGCTACACTAAAATAGTTATTCAAATCCAGTCTGGATAGTTTTTTGTTGTTGTTATTTTGATTTTTTTGTTGTTTTTTTTTGTTTTTTGAGGCGGAGTCTCGCTCTGTCGCCCAGGTGGAAGTGCATTGGCACGATCTCAGCTCACTGCAACCTCTGCTTCCTGGGTTCAAGCGATTCTCCTGCCTCAGCCTCCCGAGTAACAGGGACTACACGCATGTGCCACCACGCCCAACTAATTTTTGCATTTTTAGTAGAGATGGGGTTTCACCATGTTGGCCAGGCTGGTCTCGAACTCCTGACCTCAAGTGATCCACCTGCTTCGGCCTCCCAAAGTGCTAGGATTACAGGCGTGAGCCACTGCTGCAATTTTTTTTTTTTTTTTTTGAGGCGGAGTCTCGCACTGTCTCCGGGGCTGGAGTGCAATGGCGCGATCTTGGCTCACTGCAACCTCCACCTCCTGGGTTCAAGTGATTCTCCTTCCTCAGCCTCCAGAGTAGCTGGGATTACAGGTGCCCATCTCTACGCCCAGCTAACTTTTTGTATTTTTAGTAGAGATGGGGTTTCACTATGTTGGTCAGGCTGGTCTTGAACTCCTGACCTTGTGATCTGCCGACCTTGGCCTCCCAGAGTGCTGGGATTACAGGCGTAAGCCACCGTGCCCGGTCCCCGGCAATAATTTTTAAGAGTACAGAGTTGTTGGCCCCAAAAGTTTGAGAACTGCTACACTAAAATAGTGATTCAAATCCAGTCTGGATAGTTTTTTATTGTTGTTGTTTTGTTTTTGAGAGGGAGTCTTGTTCTGTCACCCAGCCTGGAGTGCAGTGGCACGATCTCAGCTCACTGCAACCTCCATCTGCCAGCTTCAAGTGATTATTGTGCCGCAGCCTCCCGAGTGTTGGGACTACAGGTGCGCGCCATCACGCCTGGCTAATTTGTGTATTTTTAGAGACGGGGTTTCACCATGTTGGCCACGCTGGTCTCGAGCTCCTGACTTCAAGTGATCTGCCTGCCTTGGCCTCCCAAAGTGCTGGGATTACAGGCATGAGCCACTGCGCCCGGCCTGTCTGGATAGTTTTGTTACATCTTCCTCTGAAATGTTTTTTACCTCACAAAGATAAGAAAATTCTCTTAATTCCATCCCTACGTATATAATAGGTTTTTATGCTAAGGACTGTTAATATATATATTTACATATATATATATATACATATATGTAAATATAAATAAAAAGAGAAAGAGAATAGGAAGTCCTATACCATAGAACCCAAAAGACACATACATATGACCAAAAAAGCTGTCTCTAAGAAGTAAAATTTTATTCTGATATGACTGATGTGTGCATAGTTGTGTTTAAAAAAATTTAAAAAGGCCGGGCGCAGTGGCTCATGTCTGTAACCCCAGCACTTTGGGAGGCTGAGGCGGGGGGATCACAAGGTCAGGAGATTGAGACCGTCCTGGCTAACATGGTGAAACCCTGTCTCTACTAAAATACAAAAAATTAGCCAGGCGTGGTGCTGGGTGCCTGTAGTCCCAGCTACTTGGGAGACTGAGGCAGGAAAATGGCGTGAACCTGGGAGGCAGAGCTTGCAGTAAGCCGAGATTGTGCCACTGAACTCCAGCCTGGGCGACAGAGCGAGACTCTGTCTCAAAAAAATAATAATTAAAAAAAAAATTTTTTTTTGGCCAGGTGTAGTGGCTCATGCCTATAATCCCAGCATTTTGGGAGGCCAAGGCGGGTGGATCACCTGAGGTCAGGAGTTTGAGACCAGCCTGACCAACATGGCAAAACCCTATCTCTACTAAAAATACAAAATTAGCCGGGCATGCTGGTGCATGCCTGTAATCCCAGCTACTCGGGAGGCTAAGGCAGGAAAATCACTTGAGCCCAGGAGGTGGAGGTTGCAGTGAGCTGAGATCGGGCCATTGCACTCCAGCCTGGGCAACAAGAGTGAAACTCCATCTCAAAAAAAAGAAGAAAAAAAACGAAGTTTAAAAACAATTTTTTAAAAAGGGGAATGTCATTGTAGCCCATTTCAAAACCTCATAGCTTTTTTTTTCTTTTATTTCTTTCTTTATTTTATTTTATTATTATTATTTTTTTGAGACAGAGTCTCACTCTATTGCCCATGGCATGAGCATGGTGTATTGCAGCCTTCAACTTCTGGGCTCAGGTGATCCTCATGCCTCAGCCTCCCTAGTAGCTGGGGCTACAGGCATGAGCCACCATGCCTGGCAAATTTTCTTCCTCTTATTATTATTATTTTTTTGTACAGACAGGGTCTTGCTATGTTGCTCAGGCTGGTCTCAAACTCCTGGGCTCAAGCTCTCCTCTCGCCTCAGCCTCCCAAAGTGCTGGGATTACAGGTGTGAGCAGCTGTTCCTGGCCTCATAGCCTTTTTTTATGCAGCTTTACTGAGATATGATTCACATCCTATATAACTGACCTACTTAAAATGTATAATTAGGCTGGGCATGGTGGCTCACACCTGCAATCCCAGCACTTTGGGAGGCCAAGGCAGGTGGATCATTTGAGGTCAGCAGTTTGAGACCAGCCTGGCCAACATGGTGAAACCCCATCTCTACTAAAAATACAAAAATTAGCTGGGCATGGTGGTGCACACCTGCAGTCCCAGCTACTTGGGAAGGTGATGCAGGAGAATCACTCGAACCTGGGAGGTGGAAGTTGCAGTGAGATGAGATCGTGCCACTGGACTCCAGCCTGGGCAGCATAGTGAGACTCCCTCTCAAAAAAAAAAAGTATAATTAGGAATCTCTGAACACACTCCGGCTCAGGAGGCTGCCCATTTAAAATAATACATAAATAAAGTGTATAATTATACTTTCGTCTGGACTTTTAGTCCATTCACAGAGTAGTGAATCAATCACCACAATCACAACCAGTTTTAAAACATTTTTGGGCCGGGCACGATGGCTCACACCTGTAATCCCAGCACTTTGGGAAGCCGAGGTGGTTGGATCATTTGAGGTCAGGAGTTCAAGACCAGCCTGGCCAACATGGTGAAACCCCATCTCTACTAAAAATACAAAAATTAGGCCGGGTGCGGTGGCTCACGCCTGCAATCCCAGCACTTTGGGAGGCCGAGGCGGGCAGTTCACAAGGTCAGCAGTTCAAGACCAACCTGGCCAACATGGTGAAACCCGGTCCCTCTTTTTTTTTTTTTTTGAGACGGAGTCTCGCTCTGTCGCCCAGGCTGGAGTGCAGTGGTGCTATCTTGGCTCACTGCAAGCTCCGCCTCCCGGGTTCCCGCCATTCTCCTGCCTCAGCCTCCTGAGTAGCTGGGACTACAGGTGCCTGCTACCACGCCCGGCTAATTTTTTGTATTTTTTAGTAGAGACAGGGGGTGAAACCCTATCTCTACTAAAAATACAAAAAGTAGCCAGGCATGGTGTGCACCTGTAATCCCAGCTACTCGGGAGGCTGAGGCAGGAGAATCACTTGAACCCGGGAGGCAGAGGTTGCGGTGAGCCGAGATCGAGCCATTCCACTGCAGATTGCATCTCAAAAAAAAAAAATTATCTGGGTGGTAGTGATGTGTGCCTGCAATCCCTGCTACTCAGGAGACTGAGGTGGGAGAAGCCCATGAGCCTGAGACGCAGGGGTTGCGGTGAACCAAGATTGGGCCACTGCATTCCAGTCTGGGCAAGAGAGTGAGACCCTGTCTCAAAACAAAATAAAACAAACAAAAAAAACCAAACATTTTTGTTACCCTAAAAAAAACCAAACCCATTAGCCATCGCCCCCAAGTTTCCTATCTTCTCTGGTCATAGGGAGCTGCTAATCTCCTTTCTGTCTCTAAACTGATCTATTCTGGACATTTTATGTAAATGAAATTGTACAATAGGCTGATGCCAGGAGATGAGGCTGAGGCAAAGAGGAAATGTCGTCTCCATCCCATACAGAAGTCTGGTAGGACTTAGTCAAGGTGGGCATGTGTGTGCTCTATGACCTAGTCATCCCATTCCAGAATACAGATTGCAGAAACATTTATACAAAAGATCCATAGGGCTCATGTATCCAAGAGTGTTCCTCAGACAGTTGTGCACAGTTATTGGAGTAGGAGGCACTTTTTTTTTAGGGGATGTGGGAAAGTGAAACGTGGAGGATGCACAGCCCAGATGCTCCATGGCAGTTAGAGAGTGGTATATGTGCACACAGAAAAGCACAGTTAGGCCTTAAAATATGGTGTCCATAAAAAGGGGGAAAACTAAACGTATCAGCAGGGGATTAATCAGGAAAACAGAAACTACTTTAAGTTTTTTTTTTTAGACGAAGTTTCACTCTTGTCAGGCTGCAGTGCAATGGTGCATTCTCGGCTCAACGCAACCTCTTGCCTCCCGGGTTCAAGCGATTGTCCTGCCTCAGCCTCCCTAGTAGCTGGGATTATGGGTGTGCACCACCACACCCGGCTAATTTTTTTGTATTTTTAGTAGAGATGGTGTTTCGCCATGTTGGCCAGGCTGGTCTCAAACTCCTGACCTCAGGTGATCCTCCCGTCTTAGCCTCCCAAAGTCCTAGGATTACAGGCATGAGCCACTGCGCCTGGCCCCTTTAATTATTTTTTATTATAAATATTAACTCATTTAGACTTTAAGTACTTTTAAAATAGAATTTAGCCTGCTCCCGGAGACACAGCATCTGCTGCCTTCCTCTTCCTCCCTCCTTTAGGCTCCCCACTGTGCCGCCCACGGTGAGCTCAGAAGGAAGCTCACCTGGGAACCCGGAAACGCAGTTGGAAAGGTCAGCCCACGCCTCCCCTCCTCCCACCCCACTCTCCCGTCCCCTGCCCTCTCGTGTGATACAAAGCAGAGTGGGGAAAGAAGAGAATTTGAGAGTAAAGGGTACCAGCCTGAACACCGAACGATCACAACTCTTCATACAAATTACAAATAAGTACGCATTCAAAACAAAACTACTTTTTTTGGCAAGGAAGTTACAAACACAAGTAAATATTTAAAATACATTAGAGTAATTGCCTATGCAGGGATGAGATAGGGAGTAAGAAATGGGACTAAGAGGGAATAAATAAATGAAGAAGAGCAGGGCCTGCAGGAGCAGAGAACTGGCCACAAATTGAAAAGTGCAATTAACTAACCCCAAGTACATAAAAAAGAAAAGAAGTTCAGTGAGAAAGACTTTAGCATAAGGGAATATTCATTTAGCTGATACTCATTTAGCTGTTGTTATTCCCCTGGGAAAAGGGAATGAAAATTTAGGTTATAACCTATTGGCACCTTAATAAACATGCCCATTTCCTCTAGCTTCTTGCTTCCTCATACTAAAGAATCATAGAATCTAGCCTTGTAAATGGCCTTAGATCCTTGGAATCATCTGGAAGCAACTTAACATGCTAGAAAGACCACAGGCCTTATAGTAGTGATGGAAGATCTGTCATCTCATCCAAATCCCCAAGAAAGAAGTGGAGGCCATCATGTCTCAGAGGCCCGGCCCAGAATCACGTAGGGAGAGCAGAGCTGATGACAGATTTTGAATCTCTTGACCCTCATTCCAGAACCATTCCACCCTGCTATCCTGCTTCTATTTGTCTACTTGACCCTGAACTGTATTGATTGAAAAGCCAGCGATTGAATGACTCTTTAGGCATAGGGTTTTTTTTGTTGGTTTTTTTGTTTGGTTTGGTTTGGTTTTTTGAGACAGAGTCTCGCTCTGTCACCCAGACTGGAGTGCAATGGCACGATCTCGGCTCACTGCAATCTCCACCTCCCGGGTTCAACCGATTCTCCTGCCTTAGCCTCCCAAGTAGTTGGGATTATAGGCGCCCACCACTATGCCTGGCTAATTTTTGTATTTTTCGTAGAGACGGGGTTTCGCCATGTTGGTCAGGCTGGTCTGGAACTCCTGACCTCAGGTGATCCACCCACCTCGGCCTCCCAAAGTGCTAAGATTACAGGCGTGAGCTACCATGCCCGGCCTTTTTTTTTTTTTTTTTAAGACAAGTTCTCACTATGTTGCCCAGGCTGGTCTTGAACTCCTAAGCTCAAACAATTGTCCCACCTTTGCCCCTCAAAGTGCTAGGATTATATGGATTAGCCACCATGCCTGACCAGGCGTAGCTTTGTAGATTGACTTTCTATTTGTTTCTGATGATTTTAAATAAGTGAATTTGAAATTCATTCATACTAATAGAAATATCTTTAGGAAAAAATCTTGGCTGGCCGTGGTGGCTCATGCTTGTAATCCCAGCACTTTAGGAGGCTAAGGTAGGTGGATCACCTGAGGTCGGGAGTTCGACAGCAGCCTGACCAACATGAAGAAACCCTGTCTCTACTAAAAATACAAAAATTAGCTGGGCATGGTGCTGTGCACCTGTAGTCCCAGCTACTTGGGAGGCTGAGGGAGGAGAATTGCTTGAACCTGGGAGGCGGAGGTTGCAGTGAGCCGAGATCGCACCACTGTACTCCAGCCTGGCGACAGAGCGAGACTCTGTCATTAAAAAAAAAAAAAAAGATGTCTAAAGACATCAGTGTATATTTTCTTGAAACAAGGGCTTTCTCTCAGAACATTAGAGCATAATTTCAGAATTATGAAATTAATATTGATAAAAAATTATCTAAATTACATATGTGGCCAGGTCCAGTGGCTCACACCTATAATCTCAGCACTTTGCGAGGTCAAGATGGAAGGATCACTTGAGCCCAGGATTTCAAGACCAGCCTGAGCAACATAGCAGGACCCAGTCTCTACAAAAGTACAAAAACTAGCCAGGTGTGGTGGTGCACGCCTGTAATCCCAGCTACTTAGGAGGCTGAGGCATGAGAATCACTTGAGCCCAGGATGCAGAAGTTACAGTGAGCCTAGATGGTACCACTGCACTCCAACCTGGGTAACAAAGACCCTGTCTCCAGAAAATAAATAAATAAATAACAGACATATTCAGCTTTTACCAACTGTCTCACTAATGTATTTTTCTGGTTCAGAATCCAGTTCAGGATCACACATTATATTAATATATAGGTGTCATGCCTCTTTAGTCACCCTTAATCTGGAATAGTTCCTCAGTCTTTTGTTTGAGATGGAATCTCACTGTGTTGCACAGGGTGGAGTGCAGTGTCATAATCTCTGCTCACTGCAACCTCCATCTCCCAGGGTCAAGCGATTCTCCTGTCTCAGCCTGTGGAGTAGCTGGGATTACAGGCACCTGCCACCATGCCTGGCTAATGTTTGTATTTTTAGTAGAGACGGGGTTTCACCATGTTGGCCAGGCTGGTCTTGAACTCCTGACAACAGGTGATCCACCCATCTCAGTCTCTCAAAGTGCTGGTCTTACAGGCGGGAGCCACTGTGCCCAGCCACGTTTTTGTTTTCGTTTTTTTAATCTAGATTTTTAAAATAATACTGGTTGGTTATATTCTAGAATATAATGTACCTCAGTTTGGGTTTGTGTAATGTTTGTGCATGATTAGATTTGGGTTATGCATTTTCGGTGGGAATACCACAGAAAGGATGCTGTGTTCTTCCCAGTGCACTGTATTAGGAGGCACGTGATACCTATTTTTCTCATTACAGGTGATGTTAAGTTGGATCACTTGGTTAAGGTGATGTTTAATAGGTTTCTCCATGGTGCAGGGCATGGTGCCTCACACCTGTAACCCCAGCACTTTGGGAGGCTGAGGTGGGTGGATCACCTGAAGTCAGGAGTTCAAGACCAGTCTGGCCAACATGGTGAAATCCCGTCTCTACTAAAAATACAAAAAAATTAGCTGGGCGGCCGAGCACGGTGGCTCACGCCTGTAATTCCAGCACTTTGGGAGGCCAAGGCGGGCAGATCATGAGGTCAGGAATTCAAGACCAGCCTGGACAATATGGTGAAACTTGGTTGCTACTAAAAATACAAAAATTAGCCAGGCGTGGTGTTGCACGACTGTTGTCCCAGCTACTCGGGAGGCTGAGGTAAAAGAACCTCTTGAACCCGGGAGGTGGAGGTTGCATCGCGCCACTGCACTCCAGCCTGGGCGACAGAGCGAAACTCTGTCTCAATTTAAAAAAAAAAAAGTTTCTCCATGGCAGGGTCACTCTTTTCTTTGTAATTAACAAGTATCTTGTAGGGAGATACTTTAGGCTATAGTCTGTCTTTAATTATACTTTTATCCAGTAATTTTAGTATCAATTGATTACTCTTAATCTCCTCTTCCAAACTATTACTGTGGCAATTTGTTTTTCTTTTTTTCTTTTTTTTTTTTTTTTTAGACAGTCTCACTCTGTCACCAGGCTGGAGTGTAGTGGCGCCATAGGCATGAGCCACTGTGCCCGGCCTACTGTGGCAATTTTTAAACATTTTAATTTTAGGTTCAGGGGTACGTGTGCAGGTTTGTTATACAGGTAAACTCATGTCATGGGGGTTTGTTGTAGGAATTACTTCGTCACCCAGGTACTAAGCCTAGTACCCAGTAGTTATTTTTTCTGCTCCTCTCCCTCCTCCCACCCTCCAGTCTGAAGTAGGCCTCAGTGTGTGTTGTTCCTTTCTTTTCGTGCATGAGTTCTCATCATTTAGCTCCCAATTATAAGTGACAACATGTGGTATTTGGTTTTCTGTTCTTGCGTTTTTTTGCTAAGGATAGTGGTCTCCAGCTCCGTCCATGTTCCTGCAAAGGACATGATCTTGCTTTTGTTTTGTTTTTTTCTTTTTTGAGACAGAGTCTCACTCTGTTGTGCAGGCTGGAGTGCAATGGCATGATCTCAGCTCACTGCAACCTCCACCTCCCTGTTCAAGCAATTCTCCTGTCTCAGCCTCCCGAGTAGCTGGTATTACAGTCATGCACCACCACACCCGGTTAATTTCTATATTTTTAGTAGAGGCAGGATTTTGTCATGTTTGCCAGGCTAGTCTCAAACTCCTGACCTCAGGTGATCTACCAGCCTCAGCCTCCCAAAGTGCTGGGATTACAGGCGTAAGCCACTGATGATTTCTTTTTTAGGAGGTAAAACATCATGTGTTTCTAAAAGTTAGAGCTGGCCAGTCATGGTGGCTCATACCTGTAATCTTGGCACTTTGGGGATGGCGAGGTTGGTGGATCACCTGAGGTCATGAGTTCCAGACCAACCTGACCAACATGGTGAAACCCCATCTCTACCAAAAATACAATTAGCCAGGCGTGGTGGCAGGTGCCTGTAATCCCAGCTACTGAGGAGGCTGAGGCATGAGAATCACTTGAACCCAGAGACAGAGGTTGCAGTGAGCCAGGATTCTGCCATTGCACTCCAGCCTGGGTGACAGAACAAGACTCTGTCTCAGAAAAAAAAGAAAAAAAAAATTGGAGCTATCAAAAAAAGTTACACATAGGGAAGTGTCCCTCACCCCATCTCTTTTACCCTATTTTCATCCTCCATTTTTTCCAACCTATTTTTATCTACCCTCCGTAGATAAAGAATCCTCTTTGCTTCTCATGTATTCTTCCTGTGTTTCTTTTTACCCAAATGAGCAGAGACATGTGTATCTTTTTCTTTCCCCTCCCTTGTTACAAGAAAGCTAGCAAACTGTAGACACCCCTTCCTCTTTGCCTTTTTCACTTAACACTATATCCTGGAAATCATTCCTTACAGATGCATAGAGATCTTGGCCATTCTTTGTTGCAGCTGCATAGTGCTCCATTTTGTGGCAGTGCCGTATTGTTTTCAACCACTCTCCTATGTATAAACATTTAGGCCATTTCCAAGATTTTGCAATTACAAACCATGCTGCAATATGCTTTTTTTGCATACACGTTTTTGCAATGTTGGAAGTATGACTTCAAGCTAAATTCTTAGAAGTAGGATTGCTGAGTGAAAAAGTTAATAAATGCGTCATTTTGTTAGATAGTGCCAAAATCGGCCAGGTGCAGTGGCTCATGCCTGTAATCCCAGCACTTTAGGAGGCAGGAGGATCACTTGAGCCCAGGAGTTGTAAACCAGCCTAGGCAACATGGCGAAACCCCATCTCTATTAATTAAAAAAAAAAAAAAAAAGATATTGCCAAATTCCTTTCCAAAAAGACCGTATGTTTTCATGCCTACCAGCAGTTTGTGAGAGCGCTTCAAGTATCCTTTTAAACGAGAAGTGATGTTTCCGGAGCATTAAAACTGAAGTGATTTCAAAACCATGTTGCACTCACACGAACAGGTGTGCACTTAATGGACTAAACTAGTTCAGCTGACATGTCTTCTTCATTAGGAACAGTGTGGAGACTGAAAAACTAATTTAGCCTAGAGCAGCTATTTAATTGTAAAGTCTCCTTTCTCAAATATTGATTTACTATGTGAGGAAATATTTACTTTGTATAGAAGTGTGTGGAATTGGACGAGGGGGTTGACCTACACATGTGGTTTGGTATACACATATCCTCATTACAGAGGGTGTAATGAAGATATAGGTGGTTCAGCACCATAGGAAAGGGAAAAAAGAAAAAAAAAAGACGGTAGAGGTGGCCTCCCAAGCATCCACTCCCACTCCTCTTGTTAATGATTCACAATTTGTTGTTATTGTTGTCATTTACTGTTCTCCACACCTTTCCACAAGGCCTGTGTGCTTTGAAAAAATATGTCTCTACTCCGGATAGAAGTGGGGCACACAGGGCCAGGCGCGGTGGCTCACGCCTGTAATCCCAGCACTTTGGGAGGCCGAGGCAGGCAGATCACAAGGTCAGGAGTTCGAGATCAGCCTGGCCAATATGGTGAAACCCCATCTCTACTAAAAATACAAAAATTAGCCTGGCGTGGTGGCACGTGCCTGTAGTCCCAGATACTTGGGAGGCTGAGGCAGAAGAATCACTTGAACCCGGGAGGCAGAGGTTGCAGTGAGCCGAGATGGTACCACTGCACTCCAGCCTGGGCGAGAGTGCAATGAGACTCCGTCTCCAAAAAAAAAAAAAAAAAGAAAAAAAGAAAAGTAAGTGGGGCACACGATTCAGGCCTAAGCTAACCAGACCAACCTCATTCCTGATGGTTGTTAATGTTTCAGATACGGGCCCGCAGCCCTACGTAGAGAAGAGGCCAAGGTAGAAAACATGAATCTGAGGTAAAAAGAAATGAGGTACTTGTTTGCCTCATCAAGCCTCTCAATTAAACTAACCTTGAAGCCTGTCTTACCTTTGGACTTCTAGTGATGTCACCCGGTAAAGCCCATTTGTTTCAGGACGTAAGAGTTGGGTTTTCTGTGACTTGGAACCAAAACCATTCCAATTTACAAAATGAGCAACTTTAATATTACCCATGAGAAATACTTCATTGGTATATGCTCTTTCCTAGCGTTTTTGAAAACTAAACTAGGTGGGTGAAAAGTATATCTTTGCATGAAACTTTTTCATTCCAGAAAACATTTTGTCATCTTGATAATAATGGCCAATGCTACTATATCCAAATTTTTGTCTTTTTTTTTTTTTGAGACAGAGTCTCGCTCTGCCGCTCAGGTGTGATGGCGCGATCTCGGCTCACTGCAACCTCTGCCTCCCTGGTTCAAGCGATTCTCCTGCCTCAGCCTCCCTGAGTAGCTGGGATTACAGGCATGCGCCACCACACCTGGCTAATTTTTGTATTTTTACTGTAGACGGGGTTTCACCATTTTGGCCAGGCTGGTCTCGAACTCCCGACTTCCAGTGATCCTCCTGCCTACCTCAAAAAGCAACTTGATAAATCCACAGGCTCGGTATATTTTAAAAATTCTTTTAAATACAGTATACTTTTCTCTTTTTTTCCAGAATTAACCATGAATCGCACACACAGCCAGAGGCTTTTAACCCGAGAACGGACAAAGGGGCCTGCTTGTGCAATACAATTATTTTTAATGGTTAAACAAATTAATACATAAGACCAGCTTTACCTAATATAATAATAACGAACCAAAGTTTACAACAGACAAGAAAAGCACCAGCTGTCCCCGCCACCCCGGAGCGATCTCCAAGGGGACGCGGGAGAGCGCCGCGGGGGACGCGGAAGTCTGACGTCACAGGAACTGGGGGCGGGGCGGGGAGGCCCGCACACCCTATTGCGCATGCTCCCGCCTCCCCGGCCGCGGCCTGGCGCAGTGCGCACGCGCGCGGGTGGGCGGGTTTGACTGGCCGTAGAGTCTGCGCAGTTGGTGAATGGCGTTGGTGGCGGGAAAGTTGAGTCTCTCCTGCGCCGAGCCTTCGGGGCGATGTGTAGTGCCTTCCATAGGGCTGAGTCTGGGACCGAGGTGAGAGCCGCCGGGTTGGGAGTGAGGGAGATGGGAACAAGGCCGCCGGTGGGCGAGGGGAGCCGAGGGAACCCGGGGGATTGGGAGGCTTGGGGCGGCGCGGCCTGGCCGGGCTGGGACCGGCCTCTCGGCCTAGACGCCCGCGATGCTGGCACCCTCTGCCACCTCTCACCTGGGCCCCAGGGGTCCGCCCCTGGGCAGCCTGGAGTCCTCCGAGGTGGGAGGACCGGGCGGAGGTGGAGGAAGTCTTTCTTTGGAAGACTTGCTGCCTGCCCAGATCGATATAACATACGAGGTCTCTCCTCCCAAGAGTTATGGTCTAAAAACCCCTCACAAATTAACTACCGTTGGAAATGTCAAGCTATGCAAGAAAAGCTAGAAAAGGGGAGGGGTCGCCCGTTGGAGCATTTGGAGCTTTTCTGGAACAGGTGGTGTTTGCGGAGGTTGCCTCACCTCCCTGTAGCCCACGTGTCTCTGCTTAGGGCAGCTGGCCCTCGCCACCCCCTAGTATTCGTTTCCAGCCCAGGTAGCTCCAGAGCCACACAAGCCGGTGGATGCCCCTCAAGAATTGAACCAAGTGTCCAGCACTTACTGTGTGTCAACTACGTGTTAAGGGATAGGAGTAAGCAACAAAAGACATAACTTCTGCCATTAAAGAACTAGTAAGGGAGGCTGCTGTAAGAATTACAGTATTGCACAAAAGTTTGTTGTCCATTAGAGGGGCGGGCATCATGGAAGATGCAGGAGGAGATGACTGAAGTTTCAAGGACCATTTGAAATGGTTTGGCAAGGAGAGGATGACATTCAGAGCGGAGACAGTCGGGAGTACATGGATTCTGAATTAAGCAAGAGCATGGCTAATTTAGATAACTGCAAGTATTTCTGTAAAATTGGAACAAAGGGAGTGAGGGACAATAGGTTGGGAAGTAAGCGCTGAGCAGTGGGCAGGGTATGAAGGATCTTTTATGCAGATGAGAGAGGAAGCAATCTCAAAAGAGTCAGCAAACATTTTTGTGGAGGGCCATGTGGTAAATATTTAGGCTTTGCAGGCCATGCCGTTTCTGTCACAGCCACTCAACTCTGCTGTTCTAATGGGAAGGCAGTCATAGATAAATAAAGGCACATGGCAGCGTTCCAATAAAGCTTTGTTTTTTGGATTTAGCCTGCTGGCCATAGTTTGATAATCCCTGTTCCTAAAGAGTAGAACCACTGCTTAGTATAAGAACGGCTACAGTTATAAACCATAGATATATATATATTTAAAAATATATTTATATATAATATATATTTAAAAATATATTTATATATAATATATATTTAAAAATATATTATATAAATATATATTTAAAAATATATTTATAATATAGATTATATAGAAAGTATATAATACATATAAACATATTTTTTATATATAAATATATATTTTTTTGAGATGAACTCTCGCTCTGTTGCCCAGGCTGGAGTGCAATGGTGCCATCTCAGCTCACTGCAACTTCCGCCTCCCGGGTTCAAGCGATTGTCCTGCCTCAGCCTCCCAAGTAGCTGGGATTACAGGCACACGCCACCACACCCAGCTAACTTTTGTATTTTTAGTAGAGACAGGGTTTCGCCGTGTTGGCGAGGCTAGTTTCGAACTCCTGACCTCAGGTGATCCGCCTCAGCCTCCCAGAGTGCTGGGATTACAGGTGTGAGCCACTGCGCCCGGCCAAAACCTTATATTTAAATGATTATTTGAAACCCAGGTTAAGGTCCGATGATTTTTGCAATCAGAACAAGCCTTGTATCCAAAAAATGAGAGTCTAGCACAGTTAAGTCATGGAACAAAGAATTTAACATCATATCCTTTGCCTGCCTTGTCTGTGTGGCAATCCTAAGCCTAGCTCATACTACTCTGGAGTGGAGTGGGGTGGAATGGTGAATAGGAAGCTAGGCAATTGGCGCTGCTCTATTTTCCTTTTTATTAACAAAACCAGTTAAGCCAGTCTCTTTCCCTTTAAGTGTCTTGGGAACTATGTGGCCACTGCCAAATTTGTTTGAACTCTAGCTTCTTTGCACATTCATCTACTTTGAATTTACTTGGAGGGATTGTGTTGAGGAATATATCTGAAGCCATAAGCTAACCCAAGAAACTGAAATAAACTACTTTAAATTTTTGGTTTTTTTTGAGACAAGAGTCTCACTCTGTCGCCCAGGCTGGAGTGCAGTGGCGCGATCTTGGCTCACTGTAACCTCTGCCTCCCGGGTTCCAGCAATTCTCCTGCCTCAGCCTCCCGAGTAGCTGGGACTACAGGTGCACGCCACCATGCCCGGCTAATTTATTTTTTATTTTTATTTTTTAGCAGAGACCGGGTTTCACTATGTTGGCCAGGCTGGTCTTAAACTCCTGACCTCATGATCCGCCTGCCTAAGCCTCCCAAAGTGCTGGGATTACAGGCATGAGCCACCACGCCTGGCCTGCTTTAAAATTCACTAGAATTAGAACCTAATAAAATAGTTAATCTTTCTTGTGAGTATCAAGGAAAAGACATTTCATATGGGGGTCTTCAAGAAAATAAAGTTGTAAGAATATTTTTTTAGGCTGGGTGCAGTGGCTCATGCCCGTAATCCCAACACTTTGGGAGGTTGAGGTGGGCAGATCACCTGAGGTCAGGAGTTAGAGAGAAACCCTGTCTCTACTAAAAATAAAAAAAATTAGCTGGGTGTGGTGGTGGGCGCCTGTAATCCCAGCTACTTGGGAGGGTGAAGGAAGAGAACTGCTTGAACCCGGGAGGCGGGGGTTTCAGTGAGCCGACATCACGCCACTGCACTCCAGCCTGGGTGACAGAGCAAAACTCTGTCTCAAAAAAAAGAATATATATTTTTTTAGCAGATTCTAGGGATGAAGTTTATGGTAAGCCAGGTGGAGAGTGGAAAACATATGTGCCCTTGATTTAAAAAAGACAAGCATTTGACTACAGTTTACAATAGAACAATCCATTTTTCCCTTTGCACAGTAGCAATAGGATTTTTACTTTTATATCTCACTGAGATTGTGAGAAAAGATCCAGTGATTTGGGCAGTATTTTGGTATCATCCACCAAATGGCTTCATTTGAATACAGTTGTTAAATAATGGTGTACTTTGCATTTTTTCAAGAATGCTAATATGCCTTGAATTTTAAAATAATTGGTAAATAAAAAATTGGAAGTGTCTGTCCAGTTTTGGTTGCTATGCACAGCATACCATGTTTTTTTTCTTTAAAAAACTAACTCCATTATATTTATTATTAAAGCAGTTCATGTACATGGCAGAAAATTCCAATAGCACTGAAGTGAAAAGTAGGAAATGTCTCCACTCCCATTATCATTACCCAAGGATAGCCCTGTGAATATCTGCACATTCTTCCAGGAATTTTCTAATGACGTATTTTGGAGGCTGAGATCTAGAGAATATTGGACTGGAAGTTCAGAAACCTTGGTTCTGCCAGGAGCAAGCATTGTGATTTTGGATAAGTCATTTAACCTTTGCTGTACTTTTGTGAAATGAAGGTGGTAGACTGATTTCTCAGTTCCCTTACAGCTCATATACTTCTTTGTATCCTTTGAACTAAACACAGTGTCTGCATAGTAAATGTAAATATTTACTGATAATAAAGGTTGATTTTCTTAAAAAGAAAAGCTACAGGGTGGTCTTTGCTAGAGGCAAATATTACATAAGACAAATATTTAATGTTTCTTGTAAAATAATAATTGGTGTTGTATAATCACAGAGTTTTAGAATAATGCTTATCACCTTTTGTCTTTGCTTCCCTTTTACCCAGAATAGAATCCCATGTTCCTTCATTATAATTATTCCATTATCATTGCCATCAAATTACTTGCCTCTTAACACCTCTAAGCTATTTACCTACGCATGGTGAAAACCAACTGTCTACTTCCACTCAGCTGAATATTACTAGAGAAAATCACAACTAGGCTGACTTGATTTTATTTTAAATTTATATATTTATTTTCATGTTTTAGAGAAGGGGTCTCACTCTGTCACCCAGGCTGGACAGCAGTGGCACGATTACAGCTCCCTGCAGCCTTGACCTCCTGGGCTCAAGTGATTCTCCCACCTCAGCCTCCCGAGTAGCTGGGACTAAAGGGACACACCACTACGCCTGGCTAATTTTTGTATTTTTTGTAGTGATGGGGTTTCGCCATGTTTCCCAGGCTGGTCTCAACTCCTGGGCTCAAGTGATTCACCTGCCTTGGCCTCCCAAAGTGTTGAGATTACAGGCATGAGCCACTGTGCCTGGCTCCATTTTAAATTTATAATCATCATTCTCAAATGGGCACCCGGTCTAACTATATTTCTCTAGTAATTCACTTTCTCACTACAAAACATCCAACCTTATCCTGGAATTCCAGACTCATGTTCTATCATCTTGACATCACTATGTGTATGTTTAATAGGCATCCCAGATTTAACATATTTATCCTCAATTGCGTCTAGATCCAGGGAAAATATAATAAAGAGTATAGGTATAAGAGAAGAGTATTGTATGTATCAATGTTAAATTTATGATTGTGATTGTAATGTGACTATGCAGAATACCTTTTACCTCTTTTTTGAGTTTATTTTGGTTTTATTTTTTGTTTCTGTTTCTTTGTTAGGAATATCTTTTTGCTTAGGAGATACATATTAAAGTATATGAGGGGAAGCTGTTCAACAAAAGTTAACTCAATTTGGCAAAATGTTAGCAATGGTGGATCTAGGTGAAGGTATTGGTTCACTGTACTATTCTTACGCTTTCTCTGGAGGTTTTAAATTTTTCCATTTTTTAATTTTAATTTTAATTTTTTTTGAGACAGTCTTACTCTGTCGCCCAGGCTGGAGTGCAGGGGCATGATCTCAGCTCACTGCAGCCTCCGCCTCCCATATCCAAGTGATTCTGCTGCCTCAGTCTCCCTAGTAGCTGGGATTACAGGCAGGTGCCACCATAGCTAGCTAATTGTTGTATTTTTAGTAGAGATGGGGTTTCACCATATTGGCCAGGCTGGTCTCGAACTCCTGACCTCAGGTGATCTGCCCGCCTTGGCCACCCAAAGTGCTGGAATTACTGGCATGAGCCATCACACCCAGACTAGTGTAAGCTTTTCTAAATGATGTTTAAAAACATCTGTATGGGCTGGGCGTGGTGGCTCACACCTGTAATCCCAGCACTTTGGGAGGCTGAGGTGGGCGGATTACCTGAGTTCGAGACCAGCCTGACCAACATGGCAAAACCCTGTCTCTACTAAAAATACAAAAATTACCGGGCATGGTGGCACACACCTGTAATCCCAGCAACTCAGGAGGCTGAGGCAGGATAATTGCTTGAACCCGGGAAGACAGAGGTTGCAGTGAGCTGAGATCACACCACTGCACTCCAGCCTGGGTGACAGAGTGAGACTTGGTCTCAAAAAAAAAAAGCCTATATAATATGTATTCTACTAAATAGGCGATATACTGATGCCCTAAAACAGGGCAATGTTTTGTTTGTACCTTGATGGTAGTCATAAGGATGTGTACTCACGGACTTCTGTGTAATAGAGGTTTGCATCAATTATCCAAACCTGAACTTCTAAATAGTTGGAGGTTCTTTACACTCCCCATTCTTCTCCCAGTTCTGCCTGTGCATGCCTTGTTTGCCTGTAGTTTACTAGGCAGCTATTAAGTTTCTGCCAAGCATAAAGCATTGCATTTTGGAATTGGTAACAAAGCCAATATTGATCTCTTTCCTTTTAAATGTTTATATCCAGATGAGGGAGAGTGGCTAGCAATGTGTTCTTAAGGACAGTAATAGCTTCATGGAGGGAAGGAACCTTGAAGAATGCCCAGAATTTTCATTCATTCAGTAGGGAATTTAGTTGGAGGAAATAGGCTAAAGATATTCCAGGTAGAAGGAAAAAAGGCATTTCTCTCTCAGTACACAATTTATATTTACCTGAAAGAACTATGTACTAAAATCTGTCACTCAAAATTAAAAGTCACTCTCACGCAGATTAGAATTGGCCAACTCTCTTTTATGCCCTCACAATGCCCCATGTGTATTTCTGTTACAGCACCTGCCTAACTTTATTGTACTTTTTTTTTTTTTTACAGCCTTTTGACTGTTTAGTTTAAATAGGTTACACTATGTTGCTAGCCTTGGCCCAAGCATCCTTTCACCTCGGCCTCCCGAAGTGCTGGGATTACAGGCATGAGCCACGATGCCTGGCCTCCCCATCAGTTTTGTTGAAAACAGCAACTGTGTTGGCTACATCTTTATATCCCTAGCACTTACCTCAGTTCCTGGAACATACTTGACTTGCATGAAATGTTCACCGGTAAGTGGCCAGGCATGGTGGCTCATGCCTCTAATCCCAGCACTTTGGGAGGTCGGTGCAGGCAGATCACTTGAGGTCAGGAGTTTGAGACCAGCCTGGCCAACATGGTGAAACTCCGTCTCTACTAAAAATAGAAAAAATAGCCGGGTTTGGTGGTGGGCGCCTGTAATCCCAGCTACTCAGGAGGCTGAGGCAGGAGAATCGCTTGAACCCAGGGGCTTGCAGTGAGCCGAGATTGTGCCTCTGCACTCCAGCCTGGGCGACAGAGTGAGACTCTGTAAAATGTTTACCATTAAATGTCTGTATAATTGAGCATTATCTCTTTTGCAGACTAAATGCTTGCTCCAGCAATGCTGCTGCTGCTGAAGACATTTGGGACACCTTGTTAGTGTTCAAGTTTCAACTAAAGGAATGGTTGAAAGAAGTCAGATAATCGCCCAGACAGGACCTCAGATGGCTTTCCTCCTGTTTTTTAATTTTTAACTTTTATTTTTCTGTAGAGGTGGGATCTCACTATGTTGCCCAGGCTAGTCTTGAACTCTTGGCCTCAAGTACTCCTGCCTCAGCCTCTCAAAGTGCTTGGATGACAGGTGTGAACCACTGCACCTGGCCTGATTTTCAGTTTAATAGGTCCAAAAACTCAGTTTAGTCCTTGTACTCATATTTGATTAGTCTCAGTGATACTGAGGTTGTATAGCATAGTAGAAAAATTCCAGGCTTTGAGAATCACAGAGATCTTGATTAAATCCTGGCCCTGACATTTACTAGTTTTCTCATGTGAAAAATACAATAGTAACAAATAGGGTTGATGTAACAATTAAAGGACATAATATAAAGAATGTACTGCTGATCCCACAGTAAGCTCAAATAACTATTATTAGATAGCTATTGTTACGATAATAGAACTTAGCAGATGCTGATTTACAATCCAAGTATCAAATCTATTGACTCACAATATTAGTGAAACTGTCAAATAGATTAAAATTATTATGTCCACTGTGTATTCTTTTCTAGTTAGGAAATTTTGCCTCGGAAAGGTTGCTTAGAGAATTAAGAGAAACAGTTTGTCATAATGGCTATCATCACCAAGCTCTGATGCCTGATGTATTAGTCTTCCCTAAGAGGATTAAACTGTCATGTCAAGCAGAATTTACTTGGGTTCCCTTTACCCTGGACACTTAACAAACTCTTCTTTCGCTTCTGAAACTGCAGGTTGACCATACCTTGCTTCTATTGACTCTTTCCTTGAATCTGGACATCATTAATTTTAATTTTCTGTAATAGGCCTATGTCAGATTTTTGGAGTACCTCTTTTCTTATCCATGGAGGATATGTTCCAAGACCCCCAATGGATGCTGAAACCACAGATAGTAGTGAACCCTATATACACTATGTTTTTTCCCATACAGTAATGAACAGGTAGTGTGTACAGCATGGATATGCTGGACAAAGGGATGATTCATGTCCCACGTGGGACAGAACAGGATGGTACGATATTTTATTATGCAACTCAGAATGACATGCAATTATTGAAAACTTGTGTATTTATTTCTAGAAGTTTCTGTTTAATAGTTCCGAACTGTGGTTGGCTATAACTGAAACCACAGAAAATGAAACTGCAGATAAGGGGGGACCAGTGTATTTTCTGCCTATGTTTAGAAGTTTCTTTTTTTTTTTTTTTGAGATGGAGTCTCGTTCTGTCTCCTAGGCTAGAGTGCAGTGGTGTGATCTCGGCTCACTGCAACCTCCACCTTCTGGGTTCAAGTGATTCTCCTGCCTCAGCCTCCCGAGTAGCTAGGATTACAGGCGCCCACCACCATGCCTAGCTAATTTTTTGTATTTTTCATAGAGATGGGGGTTTCACCATGTCAGCCAGGCTGGTCTGGAACTCCTGACCTCAGGTGATCCACCTGCCTCAGACTCCCAAAGTGCTGGGATTATGGGTGTGAGCAACAATTACAATTGTTAATTGTAATATTAACAATTTGCTTGGCTTGTGAATTGTTAATATTATCCATTACTTGTAAATTTAAATCTATTTCCTATTTCTGGGAGGTTCTTTCACCCCCTTTATAATTCAGTATACTCTGCTTTGACGTTGTAAAACGTTGCTTTGGATATTCTCAGTGGTGGACAGTTTTTCTCCTTTGAAATTAAATTTGATTTTCTAAGTAACAGTGGAAAGTCTGATGCAGATTGCCTAATCCTTGTGGGTAACTAAGAGGAGTAATACCATCTTCGCCCAAAAGAGTCCCGTCAATAAAATTATAATACTTTTTTTCTTTTTTTTTTTTTTTTTTTTTGAGACGGAGTTTTGCTCTTGTTGCCCAGGCTGGAGTGCAATGGCGTAATCTCGGCTCACCGCAACCTCTGCCTCAGACTCAAGCGATTCTTCCGTCTCAGCCTCCCCAGTAGCTGGGATTACAGGCATGTGCCACCACGCCTGGCTAATTTAGTATTTTTAGTAGAGACAGGGTTTCACCATGTTGGTCAGGCTGGTCTCGAACTCCCAATCTCAGGTGATCTGCCCACCTTGGCACTCCCAAAGTGCTGGGATTACAGGCGTGAGCCACCGCACCTGGCCTATAATACTTTCTTGAGTACTATTTTGCCAGGATTTCTCAGGGGTGAGGATTCTACAGTGTTTTGAGAAATGACAGTAAGAGTAAACAATTGGAGTGTCTTCCCAAGTTAATCTAATGAGGATGTTATTCATTCGTATACATGCCTTTGAAGATATTTTATAGTTGTTTCCACGTGCTCTTTCTTGTCCATGAAAGTCTCTCTGTCTTGCTGGGCGCAGTGGCTCATGCCTGTAATCCCAGCACTTTGGGAGGCTGAGGCGGGTGGATCACCTGAGGTCAGGAGTTTGAGACCAGCCTGACCAACATGGCGAAACCCCATCTCTACTAAAAATACAAAAATTAGCCAGGCATGGTGGCACACGCCTGTAATTCCAGCTACTTAGGAGGCTGAGGCAGAAGAATCGCTTCAACCCAGGAGGTAGAGGTTGCAGTGAGCTGAACTTGTGCCACTGCACTCCAGCCTTGGTGACAAAGCGAGACTCTGTCTCAAAAAAAAAAAAAAATAAAGAATCTGTATTTTTCTTTGAGTTATACTCTTTCAGTCTTGTAGCCCAGTGGTTCTTATAGGTTTTAGTCTTAGGACTATGTAACACATTTAAAAGTGGGAGATTCCACTGGGCATGGTGGCTCATGCTTGTAATCCCAGCACTTTGGGAGGCTAAGGTGGGAGAACTGCTTGAGTCCAGGAGTTCGAGACCAGCCTGGACAACATAGGGAGACCCTGTCTCTGCAAAAAGTAAAAAAATTAGCTGGGTTTGGTGGCACACACCTGTGGTCCCAGCTACTCAGGAGGCTGATATGCAAGGATTGCATGGGCCCAAGAGGTCAAGGCTGCAGAGAGCCATGATGTCATCACTGCACACTCCAGCCTGGGTGACAAAGCAAGACCCTGTCTCAAAAAAAAAATTATTGAAGAATCTAAAGAGCTTTTCTTTATGTTATATGTGTCCATGAAACAAATTTAAAATTTTAAAATATTTACATTCATGTACAGTGACACACACATTGAATATTTTTATAAAACATATTTTTATGAAAAAAGCTGTATTTTTCTAAGAAAAAACTGAGAAAAATGATGTTGTTTTACATATTTGCAAATCTTTTTAATATCTGGCTTAATGGAACTGGGTTCTTATGCAGTCTGTTATCATATGTTGGTTGGGTTAAAGTATATGAAGAACATCCATCCTCTCAGAGAAAGTCACGTTGGGAAAGGGAGGAGTATTTTAAGACCTTTTCACAGAATTATAGATATTCTTCTTGGTTACTGTTACCAAAGCTTGACAAGTAGTAGTTTTCCTAAAGGCTAACTACAATGTGGGATATAAAATCTTAAGACCTTGGCCAGGTGCAGTAGCTCACACCTGTAATTCCAGCACTTTGGGAGGCCAAGGCAGGTGGATCACTTGAGCCCAGGAGTTCGAGACCAGCCTGGGCAACATAGTGAGACCCTGTCTCCTAAAAATAACAAAAAAAATTAGCTGGACATAGTGGCACGAGCCTGTAGTCCAGCTACTTGGGAGGCCGAGGTGGGAGGATCACTTGAGCCTGGGAGGTTGAGTCTCATCGTGCCATTGTACTCCAACCTGGGTGACGGGAGTAAGACCCTGTCTAAAAAAAAAAAAAAAAAAAAAAAGGTTTGTCTTACAGTTGGAGTGAAATCTTTTACCCAGGAATGATTTCACACCATGCATCTTTTGGATGGTTCACTGAGTTATGTGTTAGGCACAGTTTTCCAGAGGAGAAACACAACCAACAACCAATAGGATACATGTAGATATATAAGAGGAAATTTATTATGGAAATTGGCTCACATTGTTACCAGGGCAGCAAGTCTGGTTGGGGTCCACAGTCCTTAGTTCTTGTCTTCTTGGAAGAAAGAATTCAGCCAAGACAGAAGTAGATTCAAGGCAGGACTGAAGGGTTTTTGAAGTAACGTTCACTTGGAAGGGACCAAATGGGCAACTTGAAATATTGAATGCCCCTATTTCCTGATCCTTCCTGGTCTCCTCTCATCCTTCTCCTTGGATGGGCTGCTGGCTAATTGCCTCATGTGCAGTGACTTGCCAGCATCTGAAAGGGGCCACGACTGCCATTTGGTGTTTGGAGTTCTGTGCATGCTCGTGTAGGGCAATTTTCCCGTACTGGTCTAGTGCTCCCAGAGAAAGGTCATATACTGGTCACACTCCACCATTTTGCTCCCTACTGCACATTCCTGGACATGTTTGCTCAATTCCTAGGATCTTATCAGGAAGTTGTTGCCCGTAAGCCCAAGATGTTTCCTGTTAGGAAATTTTCCCCTCCCTGGTGCCAGCTGCAACCAGTTATCATTCCTGAAGAGGCCACCTGGACATTCCTTGGGGCCTGTCTTGCCCCACTCACACCTGTCTGTCTACCTACTCTAATAGCGTGATGATGGAGGCCAGGAAATCCCAGACACACCATCTGCAAGCTGGAGAACCAGAAAGCCTGTGGTGTAATTCAGTCTGAGTCTGAAGGGCTGAGAGCCAGGAGAGCCCGTGGTGGAACTCCCAGTCCAGGGCTTTAAAGGCTCGAGAATGGTGTAGGGTTGGGGGACAGGCGGCACTGGGGTAAGTCCCAGAATCAGGGGCTCCAATATCTGAGGGCAGGAGAAGATGGGTGTCCCAGTTCAAGAAAAGAGGGATTGGAGGATGCCCGTCTGCATTAGTGAGGATGGATCCTTTTTAATCAGTCTACTGATGATGCTCGTGTCCTCCAGAAACACCCTCATGACACACCCAGAAATAATGCTTTACCAGCTATTTGGGCATCTCTTAACTTAATCTAGTTGACACATACAATTAACTATCACAGCCACCTTCAGGCTTAATAAGTCTCTAGAAGAACTCAGAACTCAGTGAAAGCTGTTATGCTCATGGTTATGGTTTGCAACAGCAAAAGGATATAGATTAAAATCAGCCAAGGGAAGAGACACAATAGGACAAAGTTCAGGAAGTTCCAAGTACAGAGCTTCCAGCTGTCCTCTTCCAGTGGAGTCATCAACAGTGCTAAATTCTCCCAGCAACAATGTGTGACAATAGAATATTGGCAAGCAGGGAATCTCAGCTAGACTCTGGTGTCCGAAGGTTTTATTGGGGCTCTGCCATGTGGACATAGTCAACCGCCTGCATAGCTGACCTTAGCTTCCAGCACTTCCAGGTTGGCCTAACACTGCATGACCCAAAGCCCCCACCATAAATCACATTGCTGTGTGGCTCAAAGTTCTCTTGTAAACAGAGACTATTTTTGGGGGGGGGGGGCAGGGGGACAGGGTCTTGCTCTGTGGCCCAGGCTGGAGTGCAGTGGCATAATCTTGACTCACTGCAGCCTCGACCTCCTGGACTCAAGCGATTCTTTTCTGTCAGCCTTCTGAGTAGCTGGGACTACAGGTGTATGCCACCATGCCCAGCCAATTTTTGTATTTTTTGTAGAGACAGGGTTTCGCCATGTTTCCCAGGCTGGTCTTAAACTCCCGGGCTCAAGCGAGCCTCCTGCCTTGTCCTCCCGAGGGACTAGGATTACAGGCGCGAGCCACTGTGCCCGGCCCAAAGACACTTTTATCAGGCAAGACATTCCAAGGGTTTAGAATTACCTCTCAGGAGCCAAGGACAAAAACCAGACCTCCCTTTGGGCAAGGTTAAATTATTCACTACACAGTATGTTTCTCATGTCATCACAAAGAATATTTTTTAAAGTGTACTCAAGGGTCATGATTTAGTAAAAGCAGTCTTTTTTTTTTTTTTTTTTTTTTTTTTTACTTCAAAGACATTCTTACGTAAAGCTGGTTTTGTTCTGCCTGAGTGCAGGTAGTGCTTGGCGATGTGTGCTAATACATTTCCACACCACTGCCTTGATTACGCTAGCTGTCAGCAGGTACCCACTATTGCTTTTAGGACCTTAGTATCAAACTAGGCAAATAACATCTTAATTTTTACTTTTTCTGTTTACGAAAATAGTTTTGGCCATGGGTATGCCCTCAGAACCTCTGCTCTAATTAAGCACCCTGTAACTTTACCTTGTATTATGACATAATCTCATCTAGAGGACTGAGACTGCACATTCTTTGAGGGTAGGTTGTCATCTTCATCTTTGTAGTCAACATTTTACCTAGCACAGTGCTTCATACGCAACAGAAATTCAACGAACGCCTGTTAAATTAATGCATAGAACTTTTTCATCACTTGAGGAAGTCTTTCCACAACTTGATTTGGTTTAAAAAAATGCAAATAAGGCCGGGCGCGGTGGCTCACGCCTGTAATCCCAGCACTTTGGGAGGCCGAGGCGGGCGGATCACGAGGTCAGGAGATCGAGACCATCCCGGCTAAAATGGTGAAACCCCGTCTCTACTAAAAATACAAAAAAATTAGCCGGGCGTAGTGGCGGGCGCCTGTAGTCCCAGCTACTTGGGAGGCTGAGGCAGGAGAATGGCGTGAACCCGGGAGGCGGAGCTTGCAGTGAGCCGAGATCCCGCCACTGCACTCCAGCCTGGGCGACAGAGCGAGACTCCGTCTCAAAAAAAAAAAAAAAAAAAAAAAAATGCAAATAAAAGGTGACTTTCTTCCCATTTGTGATAGATTTTTTTTTCTTTTGTCATATAGAAGGGTTGTCAAATCTGTGCTGATTCCCAAGAAACTTGAGAATCAGTTTTGTCTCCCTTGTGACAGTTAAATCCTTCACCGAGATTGCCCCCTGTGATCCTAATGACTTCCGTCATGGTGCAGACACTCCTCCTCCAGACTAGGGTGACAAACCCCAGCCCTCTCTCCACGTATGGTTTTAACTCTCCTCACATCTGTCCCCTAGTAACCACCAAGATGATCTGTTTGAAATGCAGATAGGCTGGGCGCGGTGGCTCACGCCTGTAATCCCAGCAGATTGGGAGGCCGATGGGAGCGGATCATTTGAGGTCAGGAGTTTGAAACCAGCCTGCCCCAACATGGTGAAACCTTGTCTCTACTAAAAATACAAAAATTAGCCGGGCGTGGTGGTGGGTGCCTGTAATCCCAGCTACTCAGGAGGCTGAGGCAGGAGAATCACTTGAGCCCAGAAGGCAGAGGTTACAGTGAGCAGAGATCGCACCACTGAACTCCAGCCTGGGCGACAGGGCAAGACTCCGCCTCAAAAAAGAAAAAGAAGTGGATAATATGCCAGGTACTCTTTTCACATATTTAATCCTCATCAGCCTTATGAGGGAGGGTGCTGTTTGTTATCCTCACTTGACAGATGAGAAGCCTAAGGACCTCAGTGACCTAGCAGGTCTGGCTCTGGGGTCCCAAATGTCTACTCTTAACTATGTTCTAAATACTTCTCAGTGCTTAGTGTCACACCTGTTGGCTGTTGTCTACAAGCCAAAGATAAGCTCCCAAACATGGCGTCTGAGCCCTTCCATGCTCTGACTTCTGCTCTCTTGTAGGGCTTCCCTGGGTCCTGCCTGTTTGGTGCTGTTACAGTATCTAGGAGTTCAAAGCTGCTCACAGTGTCCCTATGCACAATGCTATTTATAACCTCTGCACTGTGGCTGCTCCTGTTTCTGTTAGCAGGTCTACTAGGCCTGCCTGTGCCCCATTCACCTGGCAGTCTTACTTAGGAGAGAGCCCAGGTGGTGGCTCCTCAAGGAAGTTCTCCTCCACCTTTCTCCTTTGTCCCCTTCCCCAGTGAAATAAAGAGCTCACAATGAATGGGGCAGACAAATGAAGGCAGATAACTGTGTAACAAGTGTGGTAAGAATTAACTGTGTGAAAGTTAATTACAAGGAAGGTAAAAATTTTGCCATAGCAGTTTGTCTTATATCCTAAACTAGACTATCCATTCCTTTGAGGGTACAGACTCATTTTATACTGTCAGTATTTGGTAGATAAACAAAAAGTAAAATATCTGAAAAATAAGTAAACACAACATTTCTCCTAAACTATATTTCCTATTTCATATTTTCTTCCAAATCCACAAAATTATGAAAAAAATTTTTTTTGAGATAGGGCCTCACTCTGTCACCCAGGCTGCAACCTCTGCCTCTTTGACTCAAGTGATCTTCCCACCTCAGCCTCCTCAGTAGCTGGGATTACAGTGTGTGCCACCATGCCCAGATAATTTTTGTATTTTTTGTAGAGTCAGGTTTCACCATGTCGCCCAGGCTGGTCTGAAACTGGACTCAAGCGATCTGCCCACCTTGGCCTCCCAAAGTATTGGGATTACAGGTGTGAGCCACAGCACCCAGCCTAAAGTTATGAAATCTTACAGACTTTCGGAAAATGGTATAAATATAGATGTCTAGGATTTTATATTTTTAAATAATGAGTTTTCCTTCTCTCTTCTTTTATAAGCTCCTTGCCCGACTTGAAGGTAGAAGTTCCTTGAAAGAAATAGAACCAAATCTGTTTGCTGATGAAGATTCACCTGTGCATGGTAAAAAATACAACCTTTATATAAATAAATGCAAATCTTTATAAAAGGATTTTTCACATAAGCTCACATGTATACACATACTCCTCACAAGAGTTTATACAGGTTAAACTGTACAATTGGAAAATGAGACACAGGTTGTGACAGAAAGCTTTTAAGCTTTCCTCATCGGTGTCAGACAAGTTTGCTTCTCTGCAGTAAATCTTCAGAATATGCCTTGACCTCTGTCTTATTCTCAACACACAATATTTATGCAAGTCCTGTTATTATAGTTTATGTTGAAATTCCTTTTCTTTAGAAGCTTGCGGAGTTGTAGGGAAGTCCTTGGGTACCCACTTGTTAGTATTTCTACAACAGGGAAAACTTACTAAGGGCGTGCGCTTAGGTTGATTTTTTTTCTTTTAATGTGGCGGCTTCATAGAGATAAAATTCACCCACCGAAGTGTGCAGTTAAGTGATTTTTAGGTTATTACACAGTTGTGCAACCGTTACCACAGCTGACTTTAGAGCATTTTATCTCCCCGTAAAGAAGCTCATTTCTAGTAATCATCATCTCCCATGTTCCCCAGCTCTAGGCAACTACTAATCTACTTTCTAACTATGGATTTGCCTTTTCTGGACATTTCATATAATTGGAATCATGTAATATGTGATCTTCTGTGACTGGCCTCTTTTACTTTGAATAATTTGCACTGAATTGTATAATTCAGTGTCACCATTTCATAACACGTATCAGTAGTTCATTCTTTGTTAAATATTTCATTGCATGAGTGTACATGTTGCTTATCCATTTGTTAGCTGATGGACATTTGGGTTGTTTCCATTTGCTGGCTGTTGTGCATAATGCTGCTGTGGTTATCTGTGTACATGTTTTTCTGTGGATAGATGTCTTCAGTTCTATCGGATAATACCTAGGATAGGCATTGCTAGGTCATATGGCAATTCTACATTTAACCTTTTGAGAAACTGCCAGACTGTTTTCCAAAGGAGCTTCACATTTTACTTGCACCATCATTGCATTGCCAGCAATTCCCATATTCTGGGAATAATTGTTATTGTCTGTCTTTTTGATAATAGCCATCCTAGTCAGTATGAAGTGTTATCTCTTTGTGGTTTTTGATTTACATTGTCCTCACGGCCAATGATGTTGGGTATCTTTGCACAGGCTTATTGGCAAATTGTATATCTTTGAAGAAACGTCAGATCCTTTGCTCATTTAAAAAATCAGGTTATAGCCGAGCGCAGTGGCTCACACCTGTAATCCCAGCACTTTAGGAGTCTTAGGCAGGCAGATCACGAGGTCAGGAGTTTGAGACCAGCCTGGCCAATATGGTGAAACCCCCATCTCTACTAAAAATGAAGTATCCAACTGTTATTGTTGAATTGTCTGTTTCTCTCCTGAGTTTTATCATTTTTTGCTTTTGTATTTTGGGGCTTCATGTATTGTTAAGCACATATAACTTTTTATTTTGTCTTATTGCTGGCTGACCCATTTATCATTATAAAATGTTCTTCTTTGTCACCTCACATCCATTAGGAAGGCTACTATCAAAAAAAAAACAGGAAATAGCAAGTGTTAGCAAGGATGTGGAGAAATTGTAACCCTTTTGCACTGTTGGTAAGATTGTAAAATGGTGCGACCATTATGGAAAACAGTATGGAGGTTCCTCAAACAATTAAAAATAGAGCTACCATATGATCACATAATCTCACTTCTGGGTATTCATCCAAAAGAATTGAAAGTAGGATCTTGGAGAAATATTTGCACACTCTTGTTTATAGCAGCACTATTCACAATAGCTAAGAGGTAAAACCAACCTAAATGTCCATCAATGTGCTTATAATGAATCCCTGGGGGGAAAAGTATCCATCAATGGTTGAGTGGTGTATACAAAATGTGATATATACATGCAGTTGATATTATTCAGCCTTACAAAGGAAGAGAATTCTGTCACGTGCTACAACGTGGATGAACCTTGAGGACATTGGTAAATGAAATAGGCCAGACACAAAAAGACAAACTGCTTGATTCCACTTATATGCAGTTTCTAAGGTAGTTAAATTCACAGAAAAGAAAGTAAAATGGTAGTTACCAGGAGCTGGGGAGGCGGGGGAAGGGAGTCATTGTTTAATGGGTGCAAAATGGGAGTTTTGCAAGATGGAAAAGTTGTGGAGTTCTGCTTCATTGCTTTGCAGCAATGTCAATGTACTTCACACTGCTGAGCTGTACACTTAAAAATGGTTAAAGTAGGGACCAGGCACGGTGGCTCACACCTGTAATCCCAGCACTTTGGGAGGCCAAGGTAGGTGGATCACCTGAGGTCTGGAGTTGGAGACCAGCCTGGCCGACATGGTGAAACCCCGTCTCTACTAAAAATAGAAAAAATTAGCCAGGCGTGGTGGCAGGCGCCTGCAGTCCCAGCTACTCGGGAGGCTGAGGCAGGAGAATGGCATGAACCCGGGAGGGATTCAGTGAGCTTGCAGTGAGCCAAGATTGTGCCACTGCACTCCAGCCTGGGCGACAGAGTGAGACTCCGCCTCAAAAAAAAAAAAGAAAAAGAAAAAGAAAAATTACCCAGGTGTGATGGCTCATGCCTGTAATCCCAGCTACTTGAGAGGTCAAGACAGGAGAATCACTTGAACCTGGGAGGTGGAAGTTGCAATGAGCCGAGATTGCGCCACTTCACTCCAGCCTGGGTGACAGAGCAAGACTCCGTCTCAAAAAGAAAAAGAAAAAAAAAAACAAAGACAAAAAGTTTATGATTGCATTTTGCTGTCTGTTTTTTATATATGTCTTATGTCTTTTCTGTTTCTTTCTCCTTTACTGTTTTCTTTTGTGTTAAATATTTTCTAATGTACCATTTTAATTCCCTTGTCATTGTTTTCACTATATTTTTCTGAATTATTTTTCTAGTGATTGCCCTGGGATTACAAGTAAGATCATAATTTCTAACAGTCTAGTTGGATTAATACAAACTTAATTTCCATATTTTGTAAAAAGCTTTGTTTACTGTATAGGTATTCCCTACATCTTTATACATTGTATGGTCATCAGCACATTTAATATTATTACTGAATTAAAGTAATTAAAATGATCACTTAAGAATACTTTCTGGCCAGGTGCGGTGGCTCACACCTGTAATCCAGCACTTTGGGAGGCTGAGGTCTGTGGATCACCTGAGGTCAGAAGTTCAAGGCCAGCCTGGCCAACATGGTGAAACCTCATCTCTACAAAAATTAGCTGGGCATGATGGCGGGTGCCTGTAATCCCAGCTACTCGGGGGGCTGAGACAGGAGAATTGCTTGGACCTGGGAGGCAGAGGTTGCAGTGAGCCGAGATTGCACCACTGCACTCCAGCCTGGGCAACAGAGCAAGACTGTCGCAAAAACAACTTCCTTCTTAAATCAGATAGATGAAAAAACAGTTACAAATACAAAAACACGTTTATACTATCTTTTTTTTTTTTTTAGATGGAGTCTCACTCTGTCGCCCAGGATGGAGTGAAGTGGTGTGATCTCGGCTCACTGCAACCTCCTCCTCCTGGGTTCAAGTGATTCTCCTGCCTCAGCCTCCCCAGTACCTGGGACTACAGGTGTGTGCTACCACACCTGGCTAATTTTTTGTTTTTAGTAGAGACGGGGTTTCACCACGTTGGCCAGGCTGCTCTTGAACTCCTGACCTCAGGTGATTCGCCCACCTTGGCCTCCCAAAGTGTTGGGATTACAGAGGTGAGCCACCATACCTGGCCTGTACTGTCTTTTATATTTGCCTAGATAGTTACATTTCCCTGTGCTCTTTATTTTCTCATTTGGATTTCAGGAACTGTGTCCTTTCATTCAGCCTGCAGGACTCCCTTTAGTATTTTTTGTACAGCAGATTTGCTAACCAAAATTCTCCATAATAAAACACAAATTTTGATCAAATATGTAAGACAAAAAACAGAATGGTCTTTGTACTCTCTCTGTAAGGAAGGATATTATTAAGGTGAGCCTTATGAAACTGACAATATGTTAAAATGGGTTTGTGGAACAACTTCTACATTAGAATATTATATTATAGAAACGTTGAAAAACACCATCATGTTCAGTAACTAACAAAAAAGTTTACTGAAAACTACTGAAGATCCTATAGCTGTAAAACTAGTTAGATGAGTATTCCATTGGAACAATAGCAGATAGAAGACTGGGATTATAAAGATTATTTATCAACAATAGAAGTTTATCAGAGCTTGTTACAGAAAAGCTTAAGTTGAAGTAGTAAGATTTAGGGGTTATAGAGTCTCAATGCCATTGTAAACTTTTTTTTTGAGATAGAGTCTTGCTCTGTCTCATCTGTATTTTTAGTAGAGATGGGGTTTCACCATATTGGCCAGGCTGGTCTCGAACACCCAACCTCAGGGAATCCACCCACCTTGGCCTCCCAAAATGCTGGGATTACAGGTGTGAGCCACTGCACCCATCCGAACATTTTTTAAAATTTATTTTAATTTAATTTTAAATTCTAGGATACATGTGTAGAACGTGAAGGTTTGTTATATAGATAAACGCGTGCCATGGTGGTTGGCTGCGCCTATCAACCCATCACCTAGGTTACTTGTCCTGGCTATTTGTCCTGACGCGCTCCCTCCCCTCATGCCTTCAGCAGGCCCCGGTGTCTGTTGTTCCCCTCCCTGTGTCCATGTGTTCTCATCCAAACATTTATTTTTATTTTTGTTTTGTTTTGTTTTGACACAGAGTCTCACTCTGTCACCCAGGCTGGAGTGCAGCTCGATCTCGGCTCACTGCAACCTCAGCCTCCCAAATAGCTGGAATTACAGGCAGATGCTACCATGCCCAGCAAATTTTTTGTATTTTTAGTAGAGACAGGGTTCCAACATGTTGGCCAGGCTGGTCTTGAACTCCTGACCTCAAGTGATCCACCTGTGTCAGCCTCCCAAAGTGCTGAGATTACAGGCATGAGCCATTGTGCCCAGTGCCAAACTTTTCTTTTTGAGACAGGGTCTCACTCTTGTTGCCCAGGCTGGAGTGCAGTGGCGCCGTGACGGCTCGCTGCAGCCTCGACCAACCCCCGGGCTCAGGTGATCCTCGCACCTCTGCCTCCTGAATAGCTGGGACCACAGATGTGTGCCACCACACCAGACTAATTTTTGTGTATTTTGTAGAGATGGAGTTTTGCCATGTTGCCCAGGATGGTCTTGAACTCCTGGGCTCAAGCCATCTGCCCACCTCAGCCTCCCAAAGTGCTGGGATTATGGGCGTGAACCACCACGCCCAACCTGTAAACATATTTTTAATGCTTTTTTGGATAGGAGTTATTCAGTACCATGTACCAATTCATTACTTCTTTACTTCTATAATGATTATAATCTGCAAATTCAACATATTTGTTATATAATTGGTAGGCTGGTACCAAGATGATAGCTTTTTTGGCTTTTCCTTTCTTTTCCTTATTTTGAAGGATCTTTAGATTCAGAACTCTTTCTGACAATCTGTTACCCAAACTCCTTACAGCGTTCTATTTGTAAGAGGAACTGTCAAGGCCAAATCATCCAGATTTTCTGATTTAGTTTAATATCTTCAAGTGCCAAACCTTAGGGATTTTTTTACTGCGAGTTGTCACGTTCCATAATTTGGCTGGACAAGGATGCTGTAGCAGCCACAGAAACATATGAGACGGTGACTTCAAGTACATTGAAAAGGATGATGTCCCTTCTGTAGGACATAATATTTGATTACAGGTTTTGATCTTGAGGATCAAACAGTAAATGTTTATAAAATCAGTAAAACTGATTTCAGTTCATCATTAAACATATTTGTGAGGAATTTAGTTCAAGGACCTTAATGATAATTCATGTGTCTCTTGCAAGTTTGCAGTGTCTTCCCGGTTGTTATAAAAGCCTTTTTTATACCTGCTTTGCTATTAATGTGTAAAAGAAAAAGAGTATCTCTTAGGCAGGGATTTAACCTTCAACTTCTTTGCCTCAGTTTCACTCGTCGGGAATCCACTCTGTCCTTGCTGTTACTCTAGAAGCAGTGAATGCCTAGGCTAGTGCCGTTGTCTCCTGTCTTCTGAGTATCTCAGTTTTAAAAGTTTGGTTCACAAAATGAGATGTTAAATGTGCTTTTGCGGACTACACAATTAATGCTCCAAGGTCACTATTTTGGACAAACTCAGTGATCTTTTCCCTGCTGTTTTTCATTGTCATGACTTTTCTGCTATATTTATTATTTAGTAGTTTCATTTTCTTGAAACATTCTCTTTTGCCCTGTAATGTTTTTCTTCCTGGTTTTCCTATTAAATTTCTGTTTTAGCTGTCTTCTAATGCGTCTTCTAACTGTGGATATATCTCAAAAATTTAGTTTTGGCCTTAATTTTAGGTCCATAATACCCACCCATCAAAGAGATTTTTGTTTTTTCTCTATTATTTCTGTGTGGATTACTCCCAGTCTGCTATAACCAGCCCCTTATTACCTACCATCTTGAATCTTTTTTTTTTTTTTTTTTTGAGATGGAGTTTCACTCCTGTTGCCCAGGCTGAAGTGCAATGGCGCAATCTGGGCTCACTGCAACCCTCTGCCTCCCAGGTTCAAGCAGTTCTCCTGCCTCAGCCTCCCAAGTAGCTGGGATTACAGGCACGTGCCACCATGCCCAGCTAATTTTTATATTTTTAGTAGAAGCAGGGTTTCTTCATGTTGGCCAGGCTGGTCTTGAACTCCTGACCTCAGGTGATCCACCTGCCTCAGCCTCCCAAAGTACTGGGATTACAGGCGTGAGCCACCGCGCCCGGCTTACCATCTTGAATCTTAAATTTTAGTGGCTGTAGGACATTTTCATTTTGTGACACCTAGAGATAACATTTTAAAAAACCCATACCATTTTGAAAGCTAAATTTTTGCTGGAATACTCAATGTGAATTATGTGAACTAAAAATTTCTACTTTGGGTTGGGTGTGGTGGTGCATGCCTATAAGTCTAGCACTTTGGGAGGCTGAGGTAGGTGGATCACTTGAACCCAGGGGTTTGAGACCACCCTGGGCAACTCAGCAAGACTCCATCTCTACAAAAAAAATACAAAAATTACCCAGGTGTGGTGGCACACACCTGTGGTCCCAGCTACTCAGGAGGCGGAGGTGGGAGGATGGCTTGAGCCTGGGAGGCGGAGGTTGCAGTGAGCTGAGGTCACGCCACTACACTCTTGCCTGGGCGACAGAATGAGACCCTGTCTCAAAAAAAGTCTACTTTATGTCTGTATTTGATTTGTGCAGGTACTTCCAAGCCTATCTTTGAGAACTTTTAAGTCACCACATTAGGTTTACCTGCTGTATTAGTCCATTTTTACGCTGCTGATAAAGACATACCCAAGACTGGGCAATTTACAAAAGAAAGAGGTTTAATTGGACTTACAGTTCCATGTGGCTGGGGAAGCCTCACAATCATTGCAGAAGGCAAGGAGGAACAAGTCCCATCCTACGTGGATGGCAGCAAGCAAAGAGAGCTTGTACAGGAAAATTCTCCCTTATAATAAGCATCAGATCCCATGAGACTTACTCACTATCACGAGAACAGCACAGGAAAGACCCGCCCCCATGATTCAATTACCCCCACTGGGTCCCTCCCACAATACGTGGGATTTCAAATGAGATTTGGGTGGGGACACAGCCTAACCATATCACCTGCAGAACTGAGGCCCTCACCACGCTAAGTGTGAGCACCCTGTGGTCTCTGGGCAGCAGGCTCCACACCTGGCAGTTTGCTCCTCTTGCTTTGCCTCCTATGTTGGTCCCTGTGTCAACCCTGGTCTAGGACTTTCTTACCTGCTGAACTCTGCCACCAAAGCCACACACTCCACCTGTCATTCCCTACCAGACCCGCTTCCATTTAAAATGCCAGTTTCACAATTGGCTTTTAGGCCCTTAACCCTCACAAACCAAGACTTATATTTTTATTCTTTAGATGTCTCTCAAGAGGATCTTGAGAAGAAGGTAACTGATGAAGCACATTCAGAAGATCCTGGGTTTTGTGCTGGGGACAGAATACTCAAGTCCCAACCTTAGAGAAGCTAGCAGGAAATGTAATCAAGTAAATAGTGATTATATAGTGTGATCTGTGTGATGATGGGAGATGATAGAGTTTGCTTTCCCTACCTCAGTGTTATTAGGAGCAAACAGGATATGTCTGAAGCAGCCTCTTTAAGGCATGCAGTACTCTAGAAAGGTGAGTAGCTGTGGGTCGGCCTCTCTGGCTGCCTCTATGGGAGCAGGAGAGGGAGGATTTGCTGTGGTCTGCTTCTTGGTTTCCCCGTCTGCGCTTCTGCATGGTCCCTTGTTCTCTATCACATAGGGCAGTAAAAGATGCTTGGCAGGAGTGGCGGGTTCAGCATAGCTCCTCAGTAACATAGTAAGAGAGGGCACACTGAACATCTGGGTGGAATACAGGTTTAGTTGCTATGTTAACTTTTAATTAGATGGACAATTGTTAATATGAAAATAGTTTTACTCCTTGAGCCTAGAATCTTTTTTTTTTTCTTTTCTTTTCTTTTTAGAGACAGGGTCTCCCTCTGTTGTCTGGGCTAGAGTGCAGTGGCATGATCATGGCTCACCGTAGCCTCAACCTCACAGGCTCCCACTTCACCCTGAGTAGCTGAGACTGGGACTGTAGGCACATGCTACCACGCCCGGCTATTTCTTTTTTTTAATTTTTTGTAAAGGCAGGGTCTCCCTATGTTGCCCAGGCTCGTCATGAACTCCTGGGCTCAAGTGATCCTCCCACTTCAGCTTCCAAAGTGCTGGATTACAGATGTGAGCCACTATGCCCAGCCATGTGTAGAATTCTTAAATACAAAAGAGAAGTCTATGAGAACTGATAACATACTATGCTATAAGAAAGCTGAAGCCAGGCATGGTGGCTCATGCCTGTAATCCCAGCACTTTGGGAGGCTGAGGCAGGCAGACCACTTGAGCCCAGGAGTTCAAGACCAGCCTGGGCAACATGGTGGAACCCAGTCTTTACAAGAAATACAAAAATTAGCCAGGCATGATGACACATGCCTGTAGTCCCAACTACTTGAGAGGCTGAGGTGGAATCATTTTTTAAATTTCTTCTTAAGGTAAATTTAGAATTGCAAGTTGTATGTAAGATTATGGTGGAAATTTGGTGCAGTCTTGGCTCACTGCAGCCTCTACCTCCTGGGTTCAACTGATTCTCCAACCTCAGCTTCCCAATTAGCTGGGACTACTGATGCACACCACCATGGGTGGCTTTTTTTTTTTTTTTTTAATTGTAGAGTTGGGGTCTCACTATATTGACCAGGCTGATATTGAACTCTTGGGCTCAAGTGATCCTCCTGCCTTGACCTCCCAAAGTGCTGGGAGTTACAGGCATGAGCTACTGTACCCAGCCTAGATTTCTTATACATTATTTGTGAATACTCCAATATACAACGGTTTGTTGATAATAATAAGAAAGGCCAGGTGCGGTGGTTCACACCTGTAATCCCAGCACTTTGGGAGGCCGAGGTGGGTAGATCACCTGAGGTCAGGAGTTCGAGACCAGCCTGGCCAACATGGCAAAACCCCATCTCTACCAAAAATACAAAAATTAGCTGGGCGCGGTAGCGCACGCCTGTAATCCCAGCTACTCGGGAGGCTGAGGCAGGAGAATTGCTTGAACCCAGGAGGCGAAAGTTGCAGTAAGCCAAGATTGAACCACTGCACTCCAGCCTAGGCAACAGAACAAGACTCCATCTCAAAAAAAAATTAAAATTAAATAATAAGAAATAAAGTAATTGCATTTTTTTGTGTTTTTGTTTTTGTTTTTTGAGACGGAGTTTCGCTCTTGTCGCCCAGGCTGGAGTCCAATGGCGTGATCTCAGCTCACTGCAACCTCTGTCTCCCAGGTTCAAGTGATTCTCCTGCCTCAGCCTCTCAAGTAGCTGGGATTACAGGTGCCCACCACCATGCCCAGCTAATTTTTTGTATTTTTAGTAGGGTTTCAGTATGTTGGCCAGGCTGGTCTTGAATTCCTGACCTCAGGTGATCCTCCCGCCTCTGCCTCCCAAAGTGCTGGGATTACAGGCGTGAGCCACTGCGCCCAGCCCTTGAATCCGTATTTAGACCATCATTTGGTTGGGGCTAATAATTGGCATTTTAACATAGTGTTTCCAATCAGGTAGTTCAGCCGTAAATTAATAATGACAAGCAAGAGTTGAATGCCACTGTGAGTGCATTTTGAAAAGCTCTGGAAGCAAGGCAACTTCCCCAGTGTTGTTTGATTTAACTTGTGCTGTCCTTAGTTATTCGAGCCTAGATAGAAGGAGAGTTGGAGTCTTTAACGTTCAGAGTAGTTGACTTTGATTTTTAATGCTAGGAAAATAATTTCTAATGCAGCTGGACATGGTTTCCAGAGATAATTCAAATAGCAAAGAATAACTGAAGGCAGTTTGGGAACGTGTAAGGTTGTTTTCAGTTGAAGGATGCTGTTGGCATTTAGGGTCTGAGAGCCATGGGCTCTTGCCTCAATAATGTGTGAAACCACAAAATCCAGAATTGTTCCCCCCATAACATCAATAACACTGAGAAACCTAATTAGGGAGTGCCTTCACCTGCGTGTCATAGAAGTCCAACTTAGTGGCTTGCCCAGGTGGAGGCTTGTTTTCCTCACATCCTGAGTGGCACAGAGGCAGGCTGTGCGTGGCTGGTGGGGGCTCCGTGTGCCCAGAGTCCTGGGTACCTTCTGTCTTCCACGCCACCATCCTAAGGGTGGGTTTCATCCTCACTGCTTCCAGATGGCTGCTCCACCCCCACAGGAGGGTGCGGCAGGGCAGAAGGGGTCCCTGGATAGGAAAGAATCATCAACAGAGAGCAGCCTGCATCTCACTGGCGACAGCTGTGTTACCTGGTAACCTTGCTTTTCAAAGGAGACTATGAAAAATAGTTTTAAAGTGGACACATTTCCCTCCCCATCAAATTGGGTTTTATACTTTAGGAAGAAGGGAAGAATGGATATAGTGTAATCAACTACCAGAAAGGGTGTGTACTGTAGTCATCAGATTTTGGAAAGGCCCTAGATCTGTGGCTCTTTATTTTTGAATCTTACAAATTGAAGTGGGAGTGCATGTGAGCCTGGCCGGAGGAGAGTCCCCTAGCCTCTTCCAACCTTCCCACCAGGCTCTAATTTCCTTATTTATTGTATTTGCTTGTACAGCTCCATTTTGGCAAAAGTGAATTTAGATTTTCTTTCACATTCCAGTAAGTGTCTTTTTAAACTTTTTTGCAGACTTTGCATTTTGTAACCTACCCTTGAGCTACTGCATTTTGACTGAGATTTTTAAATTTTACACAGGTGATATTCTTGAATTTCATGGCCCAGAAGGAACAGGAAAAACAGAAATGCTTTATCACCTAACAGCACGATGTATACTTCCCAAATCAGAAGGTGGCCTGGAAGTAGAAGTCTTATTTATTGATACAGATTACCACTTTGATATGCTCCGGCTAGTTACAATTCTTGAGCACAGACTATCCCAAAGCTCTGAAGAAATAATCAAATACTGCCTGGGAAGATTTTTTTTGGTGTACTGCAGTAGTAGCACCCACTTACTTCTTACACTTTACTCACTAGAAAGTATGTTTTGTAGTCACCCATCTCTCTGCCTTTTGATTTTGGATAGCCTGTCAGCTTTTTACTGGATAGACCGCGTCAATGGAGGAGAAAGTGTGAACTTACAGGAGTCTACTCTGAGGAAATGTTCTCAGTGCTTAGAGAAGCTTGTAAATGACTATCGCCTGGTTCTTTTTGCAACGACACAAACTATAATGCAGAAAGCCTCGAGCTCATCAGAAGAACCTTCTCATGCCTCTCGACGACTGTGTGATGTGGACATAGACTACAGACCTTATCTCTGTAAGGCATGGCAGCAACTGGTGAAGCACAGGATGTTTTTCTCCAAACAAGATGATTCTCAAAGCAGCAACCAATTTTCATTAGTTTCACGTTGTTTAAAAAGTAACAGTTTAAAAAAACATTTTTTTATTATTGGAGAAAGTGGGGTTGAATTTTGTTGATATACATCATAAAATAGTCTTTTGCAGGGTACTACGCAAGCCTTAAAATTTTTCTTAAGACAGAGTCTTGCTCTGTCTCCCAGGCTGGAGTGCAGTGGCACAATCATGGCTCACTGCAGCCTTGAACTCCTGGCCTCAAGGGATCCTCCTATGTGTGCCTCCTAGAGTGCAGGGATTACAGGCGTGAGCCACTGCTCGTGGCCAAAAGTTTTCTTTTTTTTTTTTTTTCTTTTTGAAACAGTCTTACTCTGTCTCCCAGGCTGCTGGAGTGCAGTGGCACAATCTCGGCCCGCTGCAGCCTCTGCCTCTTGGGTTCAAGTGATTCTTCCACCTCAGCCTCCCAGGTAGCTGGGATTACAGGCACCCACCACCACGCCTGGCTAATTTTTGTATTTTTAATAGAGACGGGGTTTCACCATGTTGGCCAGGCTGGTCTCGAACTCCTGACCTCAAGTGATCCACCCACCTCGGCCTCCCAAAGTGCTAGGATTACAGGCCCGTGCCCAGCCCTAAAGTTTTAAACTCTAGGGGAATTAACAGTATTTCTTTACAGAATGGATTTGTTAAACTAGCACAGTAAAAGTAAAGACTATTCTGTTTCTAGGCTGTTGAATCAAAGTGATTTTAGCAATTAAACTTTGTATTAATTTACCACCAATATTTCTTCACAAAGGAACTTTTAAAAGATTATCTCAGAAAGTAAATCTGAGAGGTAAGAAGTAATAATGAGTAAATGGTAAGTACTTGAGTAAATCTAAAGAAATATTGATAGTAAGGCAATCCTAAGCAAAAAGAACAAAGCTGGAGGCATCACGCTACCCAGCTTCAAACTATACTACAAGGCTACAGTAACCAAAACAGCATAGTACTGGCACAAAAACACACGTAGACTGATGGAACAGAATAGAGAATTTAGAAATGAGACCACACACCTATAATTTTTTTGATCTTCGATGAACCTGACAAAAACAAGCAATGGGCAATGGATTCTCTATTCAATAAATCGTGCTGGGATAACTGGCCAGCCATATGGAAAAGATTGAAAATGGACGCCTTCCTTATGCCATATACAAAAATTAACTCAAGATGGATTAAAGACTTAATGTAAAACCCAAAACAGTAAAAATCCTGGAAGACAACCCAGGCAGTACCATTCAGGACATAGGCACAGGCAAAGATTTCATGACGAAGACGCCAAAAACAATTGCAACAGAAGCAAAAATTCACAAATGGGATCTAATTAAACTAAAGAGCTGCACAGCAAAAGAAACTATCAAGAGAGTAAACAGACAGCTTACAGAATGGGAGAAAATTGTTGCAAACTATGCATCTGAGAAAGGTCTGAAATCCAGCATCTATACGTAATTTAAACAAATTTAGAAGAAAAAACCACCCCATTAAAAAGTGGGCAAAGGACATGAACAGACACTTTTCAAAAGAAGACATCTGTGGCCAACAATCCTATGGAAAAAAGCCCAGCATCACTGATCATTAGAGAAATGCAAATCGAAACAACAACGAGATACCATCTCACACCAGTCCAAATGGCTATTATAAAAATGTCAGAAAATAACAGATGCTGGTGAGGTTGTGGAGAAAAAGATATGCTTATACACTGTTGGTGGAAATGTAAATTAAATTAGTTCAGCCATTGTGGAAGACAGTGTGGGGATAAAGACAGAGATACCATTCAACCCAGCAATCTCATTACTGGGTATATACCCAAAGGAATAGAAATCATTGTTATAAAGACACATGCACGCGTATGTTCGTTGCAGCACTGCCCATCAGTGACAGACTGGATTAAAAAAATGTGGTACATACACACCAGGGAATACTATACAGCCATAAAAAGGAACAAGACTGACTGGGCGTGGTGGCTCATGCCTGTGATCCTAGCACTTTGCGAGGCCGAGGTGGGTGGATTGCCCGCGCTCAGGAGGTCAAGACCAGCCTGGGCAACACGGTGAAACCCCATCTCTATTAAAATACAAAAAATTAGCTGGGCATGGTGGTGCGTGCCTGTAGTGCCAGCTACTCAGGAGGCCGAGGCAGGAGAATTGCTGGAACCCAGGAGGTGGAGGTTGCAGTGAGCTGAGATCGCGCCATTGCACTCCCGCCTGGGCGACTCCATCTCTAAAAAATAAAAAATAAAATATAAGGAACAAGATCATACCTTTGCCAGGGACATGGATGGAGCTGGACGCTATTATCCTTAGCAAACTAACATAGGAACAGAAAACCAGATACTGCATGTTTTCACTTATAAGTGGGAGCTAAATGATGAGAACTCCTGGATACAAAGAAGGGAACAACACACACACACACACACACACACACCCTCTCACAGACTTAGAATACGTGGCAAGAAAAGCATATAATTTGACATTAGGAGCAGAAGAATTAGTGTGCTAAGGTCCTTGCATTGTCCGGGAGAAGGGGAAAAGTATCAACATTAGACATTGATAAAGGGTCTGCACCTTTTGATTTCTTAACCACTCAAGGATAGAAAAGGGGCATAACTTTAAAATGAAACAGGAAAATGGTGGGCTGATTTTTAAATTTAAAAGAACCGAATACAGCAGGACAGATCCAAAGCACAGAGGAGATGGTGTATTTAACTCCATCCACACCAATCATTACATTACATGCAAAGGGACTGAGGACTCCAGTTAAAATGACAGTTTTAGGCTGGTTTTTAAAATACATATTTGCTGTTTTATTTTTAGAGACAAGGTCTCGCTCCGTTGCCCAGGCTGGAGTGCAGTGGCATCATAACTCACTGCAGCCTCGAACTCCTGGGTTCCAGTGAGCCTCCACCTCAGCCTCCAAAGTAGCTGTGATTACAGGTGTGTGCCACCTTGCCTAGCTGAGTCCCTTGAATTGATAAAAGGTATATACAAAAATCCCTCAGTAAACATTAGTTAATAGTGAAATATTAGAAGTGTCTCTTTTAAAATCAAGAACAAGAGTGCCTGCTATTACTACTTGTATTCAACATTGTACTGAAAGTGTCAACACAGTAAAGCAAGGAAAATGAAAAAGCATGAAAAAAAGGCATATGGAAGAAACAAAACTGTCATTCTTTAAAGGTTAGATGATTGTATGTATGGAAATCCAATATCATCTATAAGCAGATTATTAGAATTAAGAGTTTAGCAAATTTGCGAGCTAAAACATCAACATTTAAGTTTTTCTAAGTACCAGCAACAGAATTAAAAAATAGAATTTTAGGCTGAGTGCAGTGGCTCACAACTGTAATCCCAGCACTTTGGGAGGCCAAGGAGGGAGGATTGCTTGAGTCCTAGGAGTTCAAGACCAGCCTGGGCAACATAGTGTAAGACCCTGTCTCTATAAAAATAAATTTTAAAAAAGAAAATGGAATTTTAAATATATATAATATTTAATCATAACTAAAAATATAAAGTTTCTAGAAATAAATCTAATAAAAATATGCAAGACCTTTTTGGAGAAAATTACAAAGCTTTATTGTAAGAAGCAGAGTTTAACCCTTTTCCCATTTAGAAAAAAAAAGTGCAGCTCACTGCCAGCGCTCATTTAATTTTACGTAAACACACTCTTGGAGGCTGAAGCAAATCTTACTGATTTTCAATGTGAAAATAAAATATAAAAACTATTCTTGGAGTTATTTCTAAACAGAACTAACATCAGAATCATCTGAATCATCAGAATCATCTCTTTCAGAAAAATCGGACTCATCGAATGAATCTTCGGCTAACTGTTGAGAACGATGTTAACATCACGTGTAGGAATACTACATTTTCCAGGATTTGACATTTTCAGCGATCAAGAATTACTATGTTTTGTAAATGGAAATACCACTACTAAAGACAGAATGCTATAAATAGAATGATGTCTTTTGTTTCTAAAGTCGATATACTAGAGCGATGTGAAAATAATCATAAAAGCGAGATATTTCGTGGCAAAGTTATCTCGGGGTAAACGCTGCAGCTGTAAGCACTGCCGGTGAGTATTCTCAGGACAAATGGGAAAAAGGGTTAAAGAACCCCTAAATAAATGGAGAGAAGTAGCATGTTTGTGATTGAGAGACTCAGTGTCATTAATATAAAGATGTCAGTTTTGCGACTGAGCAATTGATCCAATGCAATTACTGTCAAAATCCCAACAAAACTATTTTTGTTTTGCTTCATTTTGGAACTGATTCTTAAATTTAGTACAGCGAGGAGCCAGGAATCCTGGAGCCCCTTGTATCCGCTCAGGTCCGCCAGGAGGCAGCTGCAAAAATGATGTCAGGAGCATAAGAGGTGAAAGACAAGAGGGGGCAGAATGAGGCAGGGAAAACCTTAGGGCCTGACACCGGTGGAAGGAAGGAGGCAGGAAGAATTGGGAGGAAGAACTTCAGACTGACAGCACAGCTCAAAGAAAGTCTTGGCCTGTCCACCAGGGAACTCCTATGCAAAGATTGTCTGGAGGACACCCTCACTGGGCAGAAGTATTCATGAGGAGCACATGACCTCAGCTCATATACTGTGGCAGAGCAAAAGGCACTTTAGCTGGACGCTGTCAGATAACTCACTTTCAAAGGGAGATCCGAGCTAAGTGTTCTTTCTTCTCTCTCTCTCTCTCTCTTTCTTTCTTCCAGAGGCTTGCTTCTTCGCCCAGGCTGGAGTGCAATGGCACGATCTCAGCTCACTGCAACCTCTGCCTCCTGGGTTCAAGCAATTCTCCTGCCTCAGCCTCCCGAGTAGCTGCGATTACAGACGCATGCCAGCACGCCCGGCTAATTTTTGTATTTTTACTAGAGACGGGGTTTCACCATGTTAGCCAGGATGGTCTTGAACTCCTGACCACAAGTGATCTGCCTGCCTCGGCCTCCCAAAGTGCTGGGATTACAGGTGTGAGCCATTGCACCCAGCCTGGCTGCTAAGTGTTCTTAAAGGAGGCTGATGTAGGGGAACTTACCCTATTCGATGTAAGGATATGTAGTTAAGGCCAGGCATGGTGGCTCAGGCCTGTAATCCCAGCACTTTGGGATGCCAAGGTGGGCGGATCACGAGGTCAAGAGATCAAGACCATTCTGGCCAACATAGTGAAACCCCCGTCTCTACTAAAAATACAAAAATTAGCTGGGCATGGTGGCGCACGCCTGTAGTCCCAGCTACTACGGAGGCTGAGGCAGGAGAATTGCTTGAACCCGGGAGGCGGAAGTTGCACTAAGCCGAGATCACACCACTGCACTCCAGCCTGGGCGACAGAGCAAGACTCCGTCTCAAAAAAAAAAAAAAATTGTCGCTAAAGTGAGAGTATGCTATTGGTAAAAGGATACACAAGTAGAACAGAATATAGAGCTTCAGAACAAACCCACACGTATGGACTTTAGCATATTTCAGAAGCAGCAAATCATTGTGGAAAGGATGGACTATTCAAATCCTTGTAACAAGGATGGATGATACATGATGGAAAAAGATGCAACTGAAAACTGTATTACATCAGTACTTATAATTTTTACTCATCAAAGATTCCATCAACAAAGCAAAAAGAGAAGCTACAAACAGAGTATATTTGCAACCCATGCGAACAACACGTTTAATATTAAAACCAAAATGTAGTGTGTATACTCATAAGTGTGTATATATGTGCACACAAATATGTACGTATACATAAATCAAGACAAAATAAGTAGAAAAATGGGCAAAGGATATTCAGGGGCATTTCACAGAAAAGAAACAGGACTGGTCAAAAAACATGAAATGATGTTCAATCTCATTGGTAATTGCAAATACAAATTAAGAGTTCAGTAAGGTGTCATTTCACGCACACTTGGATGACAGAAATTTAAAGGCTGACATTACCGAGTCGCGAAGAAGATGTGCAACAAATAATGCCAACTCTGTGCTGCTGGCAAAGTCAAACCAAAGAAGTGCAAGCACCTGGAAAACGAACTTGGCATTATTTTTCTTTCTTTTTTTTTTTCTTTTGAGACAGAGTCTCGCTCTGACGCCAGGCTGGAGTGCAGTGGCGTGATCTCGGCTCACCGCAACCTCCGCCTCCCGGGTTCAAGCGATTTTCCTGCCTCAGCCTCCTGAGTAACTGGGATTACAGGCACCTGCCACCACACCCAGCAAATTTTTGTATTTTTAGTAGAGATGGGGTTTCACCATGTTGGCCAGGATGGTCTCGATCTCTTGACCTTGTAATCCGCCTGCCTCGACCTCCCAAAGTGCTGGGATTACAGGCATGAGCCACCACGCCTGGTTTGGCATTATTTTTCAAAGTTAAATACACATAATACCCTTCAACGTGGCATATATCCTTGAGAGATTCTTGCTCATGTGTGTCAGGAAAGATGTATAAATATATTTATATTAGCATTATTCATAACAACAAAAGCCAGAATCAACTCAAACATCCATTCACAACAGAATGGATAAACAAATGGTGGCATATTCATACAAGGAAGCACCCGACAGCATTAAAAATGAATGCACTACTGTCGGATGCATAAACAGGAAATAAATCATACAAACGTAATCCCGAATTTTCTCTTTTTTTTTTTTTTTTTTTTACTTTTTCTTTTTTTTCAGAGGCTAAGGAAGGGGTGGGGTTGGGCAGGGAGAGGAAGGGACTGAGGGTGGAGTCTGCTTTTTCTTAAAGAACATTACAAAGGAATACCTTCAATATAATACCTTTTAAAATAATACCTTCGGCCAGGCACCGTGGCTCATGCCTGTAATCCCAGCACTTTGGGAGGCCAAGGTGGGTGGATTGCCTGAGGTCACGAGTTTGAGACCAGCCTGACCAATATGGTGAAACTCCATCTCTAGTAAAAATACAAAATTAGGTGGGCATGGTGGTGCATACCTGTAATCCCAGCTACTCGGGAGGCTGAGGCAGGAGAATAACTTGAACCTGGAAGGCAGAGGTTGCAGTGAGCTGAGATCGCGCCACCACACTCCAGCCTTGGGGACAAGAGCAAGACTTCATCTCAAAAAAAAAAAAAAAAAAAGACATAACTCACATACTATACGATTTGCTCTATTAAAGTATACTATTTGGTGGTTTTAGTCAACTCCAAGTTCTGCGACCATTTAATTTTAGAACATTGTCATCACCCCAGAAAGAAAAGAAACCCCATACCACTTAGTAGTCATTCCTCATGCCCTTCTCTTCCCCAGCTCCTGGTAATATCCTAAACTGTTTTCTGTCTGCATTTGCCTGCTATGGACATTTCAAATACATACAATCATATACTCTGTGGTCCGAGTCTTCTTTCACTTAGTATGTTTTCAAGATTCATCCATGTCATAATATATGTCAATAGTTTATTCCTTTTTTTTTTTTTTTTTTTTTTTTTTGAGACAGGGTCTCACTCTGTCACCCAGGCTGAAGTGCAATGGTGCTATCTCAGCTCACCACAACCTCCGCCTCCTGGGCTTAAGCAATTCTCCTGCCTCTCGGCCTCCTGAGTAGCTGGAAATTACAGGCATGTGCCTCCACACCTAGCTAATTTTTGTATTTTTTGCAGAGATGGGGTTTTGCCACGTTACGGAGGCTGGTCTTGAACTCCTGGGCTCAAGTGATCCACACACCTCAGCCTTCCAAAGTGCTGGGATTACAGGAGTGAGTCACCGCACCCAGCCAGTTTAGTCCTTATAGCTGTATAATATTCCATTGCACAAATATGACACTTTTTAAAAATCCAACGTCAATGGATGGATATTTGGATTGTCTCCAATTTGGGGCTATTTTGATTAATGCTGCAATGAATATCAATTTACAAGTCTTCGTGTGGAGATGCCTTTTAAAATAAGGTTCAAAAACAAAACTAAACAATATATGCTAAAATTAGAAGAAAAGCAGGGGACCAGCAGCGTGCTATTTGGGAATGTTCCAGTCAGTTCATCGAGTTCTTTTTTTAATATTCCTCATAACTCATCACATATTACAATAATCATAACATACACACACATACAAATAGGGTGTTCTGGCCTCCACATTTTGTAAAAAGCTTCATGGTTGGATGTGGGAGGGAAAGTAGACTTTGGTTTCTTAGACGCGTCCACCTTCTCCCTTTCGGTCCCACCGCACTTCCGCTTCCAAGTACGCCCAGTTCTCTGCTTTGCTTTCACAGCATCTGCTCTGTTATGTCCACAGACCTACCCAACTTTACCAGCTTTAACTATTGGAATGTTTCAGCCAGGGTCGGTGGTTCACGCCTGTAATCCCAGTACTTTGGTCAGCAGTTTGAGACCAGCCTGGCCAATATAGTGAAACCCCGTCTCTACTACAAATACAAAAAATTAGCCGGGCGTGGTAGTGGACACCTGTAATCCCAGCTACTCAGGAGGCTGAGGCAGGAGAATCGCTTGAACCCAGGAGAAAGAGGTTGCGGTGAGCTGAGCTTGTGCCACTGCACTCCAGCTGGGGCAACATGCGAGACTCTGTCTCAGAATAAATAAATA